>NC_000008.11:137526689-137828767 GCF_000001405.40 Homo sapiens
GGACAGATGCTCAGAACTTATTCTTTAATAATGTCGTTTTTAATTGGTGTACCTCTTGGTATAGCTGGATTTTTGTTGAACCAAACAATGTGTATTCCACTGTCCCTCTGACAGTTGTCTCCAGTGATCCTGCCAGTAAGATAGTTGGGAGGTCATGCTTAAAAATAAATAAATAAATAAATAACAGGAGACTATATCAGGCCACAACTTAAGATACTTTCCAATTAAAAACTTTTAAATGGAGGGCAGTCCATATATAATTTCTATATAAATAATCTCATGATGAGTCTTTTATTGAAAGGTGCCATGTCTATTTTCTAATAATTTAGCATGCCAAGTACCTTGGGATATACCCCAAACACACTCAAGAAATGGTTGTTAACAGGATGTATAGTCCTCTCAAGATAACCATTATAAGGAATGTAACCATTAATATCTGTTGAACACTTCCTATAGGCCAGACATTGGTACCTAAGTAGAAGCCCTTAAATATTTTTGAATGAGGTGAAACACAAAACAAAGCAAATCAAATAAATAATAATGTATTGTCATTATTTGACCTTCCCGAAGCCTCTTCAGAAGAGCTCCTAGCACAGTGCTGAGCTCTAGAGCCATTTGTGTTTGTTTGGGGCGGGGGGATGCAGATCCCCATGCCACAGCCACAAGGAAAGGCAGAGGGGGCTCAGTAGAGGTACCTGCAGTGTGCCATATGCACGGAAGTGGTAGTGAGAGTCCGACTGTTGTTGCTGGGGGAGACCATTTCATGATGGAGAAATCAAGCCCAGGGAGAGTAAAAGTCTTCCTGTGTCCCAGAACTAATTGATGGCGGAGCCAGGATATGCCCACATGGTCTAATTCAAGCCTTTATTTAGTGAGTGGTCTCCAGAGTGGCAAGGTCACATTCTATGGATTTACAGATTGATCTATTGGGGTGTCAAAGTAAAATAGAACAATTCTCATACATATTTTTCTCACATTTTAAAAATAAATTACTTAATATGATTAAATGTATGCACAAACACATATATAAAGACATTAAGATATATATATATACGTACACACACACACACCCCTATAGAAAAATATATTCATTTTTTAAATTTACATGTATATGTGAAAATGTTTTAAGGTGATCACTGAATTAAGTCATAATTGGTGCTGCCCACTGGTGTTCTTAAAGTAAGAACCACTTGTTCCAATATTTACATCAAGAACACAAAGGCTGGGCACAGTGGGTCATGCCTGTAATCCCAGCACTTTGAGAGGCCGAGGTGGGCAGATCACCTGAGTTCGGGAGTTCAAGGCCATCCTGGCCAACAGGATGAAACACTGTCTCTACTAAAAATACAAAAATTAGCTGGGCGTGGTGGCATGCGCCTGTAGTCCCAGCTACTCAGGAAGCTGGGGCAGGAGAATCGCTTGAACCCGGAAGCGGAGGTTGCAGTGAGCCGAGATCATACCATTGCACTCCAGCCTGGGCAACAAGAGTGAAACTTCATCTCAAAAATAAAAAAATAAAAAAAATGAGAAATAAGCAACATTTTTCTGAATTGGAATATGTGTTCAATTACTCTGAGTAGCTTTCCAGTTGATAGTCAAGTGGCGCGATTATTTCAAAAGCTATTAGTTCCTATAGATTAAATTATATCTAACAGTCGCCACCCTCAACCGCATTAAAACATCAGGACATTTTATACCGTTCTCTCAGCTTTCTCAAGGGCTCCATTAGCATCGTGAGAAACTTAACACTGAATTGGCAAGTAATTAAATGAAGCATATGATGAGCTTCCAAAGCCCTGTTTCTTTCCGGAGGAAACCCAAGTGTCTCACCTGAGTTGAAGTATCCGAAGACTTCTGTCATCTGGAAACATTATTCCTGGAGCAAGAAAGATCATATTCTATTGTTGATGAGGGGGATAATAGAAAATGTGCTTATCGGGAAGAACAAAGTTATGTTACCTGGCATGGCTGAGCGTTCACAATCTGTTGTAACAGAGCTAAGACAATTCACTTCCTTTCAAGACACTGTGAAGCACTTACAATGTGTCAGATCCTATAGAAAGTGAAGAAATAAGCCAAACTTCCTATCTTGAGGGTCTCATATTCTAGCACAAGAGTCATATAAACAAAAAAAAAAAACCCTGTATAATGCTGTGTCATAAATTCAGGAATAAATCACTACATAAGGTACGTAACTGTTCCAATTTCAAACGTGACCTGCACTTTTTCTGACATGCCCCACTGTTCTGGCATACAAATGTCATCAGAAGACTCAGACACTATCTTACATAATTGCATCAAGCAATTCATCTGGTGTCTTGTGGGTTACAATAAAAATATATACAGAAAAGAAGAGGGAAAAATATTATAATAGTATACGCTTATAATCATCCTTATCCCATATCTCCTGGAATTAACCACTGTTAGAATCTAGGCATTGTTATTTTCATCTTAAATTTAAAAAGTATATTTTGTCATAACATCATACATGGTTATTAAAAATTGAAAAGCATTAAAACAATGAAATAAACCACTGCAAACCTCATTACTTAAAAGTGACATCAGGTGCTACCGTAATGGGTATCTTTCACTAAGCATGAACAAATACTTAGGGGATTGGATATGCTGAAGGCATGGAATATTTTATAAAGATGGAATTGTCTTTTTCTTCTTTAGCTACTCTTTAATTTGTGCCCTCTTTATTGTCTTTTTTTTTTTTTTTGCTAAGTAATCTCACTCATTTTACTACATTTTGCTTATTTCCTTAAGTATTAGATGAGGGGTTCATTTTCTAATACATGTTCCACTCAAGATAGGGTCTACTACATGTTCCACTCAAGATAGGGTCTACTTCATTTGTTCTTACCAGCTTTTCCTTGTTATTTTTCTAAGCAGTACTTTCGTTTTTTCTAAGCAATACTAATATCTGGCTAGGTTGGGATAATAGTTTTTATCTGATTACTTTTAAACTCCTTTTTTTAGTTCATGTCATTCATTTTTTAATACGGATTGGATAACTTTGATTTGTTGAGCACCATGCCAACTTCTGGTTTTTGTTCTCCATGAGGGAAAGAGATATAAAACAAATAAACATGCAAATAAAATTATTCCAAATATGTACAAAAAGCACAAGCATGGTGCTAAGGAAATAATCATGAAGAGATCTTGTTTATATTTGAGGGGAAGAAAATGCTTCTCTGAAGAAGTGAGAATTGAACCAAAATCTAAATAATGGTACTCCCAACACTAGAATAGTGCCTGTAATGTACTAGCTGCTTGATAAATATTTGATGGTTTGTAACTCAAAGGATAAATGCTTGACGGGATGGTTACCCCATTCTCCATGATGAGCTTATTTCACATGGCATTCCTGTATCCAAACATCTTATATACACCCATAAATATATACATCCACTATGAACCCACAAAACTTTAAAAAATATTAAAAAAGAAAAAAATAAATATTTGATAAATCAGTGAATGGATAAATACCTTAATATAAGTATTAGAAAGAAGAACTTTTAGGGAGAGAGGTCTACAGGTGCCCAGAATATTTTACTATTCTCATATTCACTTATTAATTCTCCTTTTAGTTTTGACATCTTTTATTACTAGAATGATAATGATGATAACTACTATCTTTATAGCTATTATGTATGTATTGACACCATAAAACAGGCACTGAAACTGTGCCTGGATCTGTGTCCCCACCCAATTCTCATGTTGAATTGTAAACCCCAGTGTTGGAGATGGGGCCTGGTGGAAGGTGATTTGATCATGGAAGTGTTTTCTCATGGTTTAACACCATTCCCCTTGGTACTGTCATAGTGATAGTGAGTCATTGTGAGATCTGGTTGCTTAAAACTGTGTAAGACATAAGACATGCCTGCTTCTTTTTTGCTTTTCACCATGATTATAAGTTTCCTGAGACCTCCCCAGAATCAGAAGCTGCTGTGCTTCCTGTACAGCCCAGAGAACTGTGAGCCAATTTAACCTCTTTCTTTATTAATTACCCAGTCTATGATATTTCTTTATAGCAGTGTGAAAATGGATTAAACTAGCAAATTTGTGCCAAAGAGTGGGGCATTGCTATAAAGATACCTGAAAATGTGGAAGTAGCTTGGGAAATATGTAATGAATGGAGGTTGAAACAATTTGGAAGTTTGGACTCAGAAGAAGACAGGAAGATAAGGAAAGGTTGGAACTTCCTAGAGATTTGTTGAATGGTTGTGACCAAAATGCTGGTAGTGATATGGATAATGAAGTCCAGGGTGAGGAGGTCTCAGATGGAAATGAGGAACTTATTGGGAACTGTTGTAAAGGTCACTTTTGCTATGCTTTAGCAAAGAGCCTGACTGCATAGTGCCCCTGCTCTAGGGGTCTATGGAAACTTCAAATTCAGAGTGATGATTTGGGGTATCTGGTAGAATAAATTTATAAGCAGCAAAGCATTCATCCTGTGGCCTAGAGGCTTCCAACCACCTATACTTATATACATGAGCAAATAAATGACCTGAAGGTGGAGCTTATATTTATTTTTTATTTTTTAATTTTTATTTTTGTTTTAAGTTCCAGGGCACATATGCAGGATGTGCAGGTTTGTTACATAAGTAAATGTGTGCCATGGTGGTTTGCTGCACCTATCAAACCATCACGTAGGTATTAAGCCCAGCATGCATTAGCTATTTTTCCTAATGCTCTCCCTCCCCTCACTCCACCCTCCAACAGGCCACAGTGTATGTTGTTCCCCTCCCTGTGTCCATGTGTTTTCATTAGTACTTATATTTAAAGAGAAAGCAGAGCAGACAATATTTGAAAATTTGCTGCCCATCCATGTGATTGGAAAGAAAAGCCCATTTTCAGGGGAGGAATTCAGGCAGGCTGCAGAAATGTTCTATAAGTAAAAAGGAGCCAAGTGTGAGTAATCAAGACAATGAGGAAAAGGCCTCAAAAGCATATCAAAGACCGTTGGGGCAGCCCCTCTAATTACAGACCGAGAGGCCTAGGAGGATAGAATGGTTTTGTGGGCCAGGCCAAGGGCCCCACTACCCTGTGCAGCCTTGAGACACTGCTTCCTGCATCCTGGTTGCTTTAGCTCCAACCATGGCTCAAAGGGGTCCAGGTACACCTGAGACCACTGCTTCAGAGGGTACGAGACTTAAGCTTGGCAGCTTCTACGTGGTGTTAAGCCTGCAGGTGCATAGAATGCAAGAGTTGAGGATTGGGAGCCTCTACCTAGATTTTGGAGGATATATGGAAAAGCCTGGATGTCCAGGCGGAACCCTGCTGCAGGGGCAAAGCCCTCATGAATAACCTTTACTAGGGCAATGTCGAGGGAAAACACTGGATTGCAGCCCCCTCACAGAGTCCCCACTGGGCACTGCCTAGTGGAGCTGTGAGAACAGGGCCAACAGCCTCCAGACCCCAGAATGGTAAATCCACTGGCACCTTACATCCTGTACCTGGGAAAGCTGCAGACACTCAATGCTAGCCCTTGGGATAAACTGTTGGGGGCTGAAACCTGCAAAGCCACAGGGCCAAAGCTTCTCAAAGCCTTGGGAAACTGCCCTTTGCACCAGCATGCCCTGGATGTGAGACATGGAGTTAAAGAATATTATTTTGGAGCTTTAAGATCTAATGACTGCCCTGCTGGGTTTTGGACATGTGTGGAGCCTCTAATCCCTTTCTTCTGGCCCACTTCTCCTTTCTGTAACTGGGTTATTTACCTAATTCCTATACCTCCATTGTATGTTGAAAGTGACTAACTTGTTTTGATGTTACTGGCTTATAGGCAAAAGGGACTTGCTTTGTCTCAGATGAGACTTTGGACATTTCAGTTAATGCTGGAATGAGGTAAGACTTTGGAGGACTGTTGGAAAGACATGATTGTATTTTGCAATGTGAGAAAGACATGATATTTGGGAGAGACCAGGGTGGAATTATGTGGTTTGAATCTGCATCCCCACCCAAATCTCATGTCAAATTTTATTCCTCAGTGTTGGAGATGGGGCCTGGTGGAAGGTGAATGAATCATGATGGGGCAGGATTCTCATGGTTTCACACACCATCCTCCTTGGTGCTGTCATGGTGATAGTGAGTTCCCGTGAGATCTAGTTGTTTAAAAGTGTGTGACACCTCCTGTCTCTTTCCCTTCCACCTGCTCCAGCCATGTAAGACATCTCTGCTTCCCCTTCATCTTCTGTCTTGATTGTAAGTTTCCTGAGGCCTCCTCAGAAGCAGAAACTTCTATGCTTCCATTACAACCTGTAGAACTGTGAGTCGATGAAATTGCTTTTCTTTATAAATTACCCAGTCTCAGGTGTTTCTTTATAGCAGTACAGGAATGGACTAATACAGGCACTCTAATCACTTTCATTGATATCTCAATTAACCATCAGAAAATTATAAAGTAAAGCTTTGTATGTGTAAGATAATGTTGCGTTTTGTTTCGTTTTTCCAGATGAGGAAATTGCAGCTTAAAGTTGCTAAACAAATTTAGCCAAGGCCACAAAGCAATAGGAAATAACCCAAAATTGAAAACAGGCTTGCCTTTCTGCAAATCCAATGATTGACATCTCCAAGCCTAATATGAGGTCCTGTGTGGACAACTGCTTGTCTCAGCCCAAATGCCACAAAATATAACAGGTCTGAGTAATTTATCCACCTATATCAAAGGTGGGTAAAAGAATTATGAAAAAAGGTAAAGCAGGGTCAGTTTGAGATCCAATACTGGGGCCAGGTATATCCAGATTCAAATATAGGTCCAGACATCTACAAGGTGACTTTGGGTGAATAACTGAATCCAAGTTACCTAGGTTTCAACACCTGCACCATGAAGACAATAATACATTGATGCTTATGATGATTAAATTATATAATGTAAATAAAATGCTGAGCTCTTGGCTTGACAAAGAGTGGTTGTTGTTTAGAGTGCACACATCAAGATAAAGGAAGTAGTTAATTTTTATGTATAGAAAGTGTTTGGGTGACTTTTTAGATGAAATGACAGATAAGCTGAGATTCAAAAGACAAATGAAAGTTTGCAAGGTAGAGAGAAGGGAAAAATATTCTGGATATAGCAAGTGCTATGCACAAAGACAGGAGACAAACTCCTTATGTGGAAACCACATAACAGTAATCATATTTTTCTTTACATTTCATAGCAAGTTGGGGGCACTGGAATGCAATGTTTCTGCTTAACAGAAATGTTGGCAATATTCTTAAGATAGTGTTCATGATGAGAAGAATTATAATAAAAGGACTTCCCAGAAAAGAATAAAAAATTCCTCCTTGAATTGTGTATTCATGTTGTATTGGCAAACGGGACACTTGTTTTACCTTCTAAACCAACTGGGCCTGAAGGATTTATTTTTGACTACTTAATTTTTAAGTGCCAAAATGTCTTCCTGTATCTTCCTACATTTATTGTCCAGAGTATAAGTTCTCCTAGGCAGAGAGTTTTCAAAATTATAACGTTCACTGAACATTAAATGCTAATAATTTTATTCTTCCTTTCCTAACACTTTGCAGTTCCAGCTGGGCCGAGAACTCAAAGTGTGAAGCTAAAGTACAAAAGCTGGTATGAGAGGTATTTCAGGAAAGGAGTACAGGCTGAAGTATTGCAAATGTCTTTGAAGAATACTGGTGCTTTGCTGTTCCCAGCTTCATTTAGCAGCCTTGAGAAATTAGAGGAGATTTTTATTAGCATCTTATCCCTCTATGTTCACCAGCACTATTTGGTAGGAATAAAATTTAAATCTTGCTAGCTATTTTCTTTGTTAGAATCATTAAATACTTCCGCTTGGGAGGAATTATTAAAGAGAAAAGGGAGTATCTCTTCCTGACAGCCTGCTTGGTGTCACTGTATTGCTTAATCCTCACAATGTTGTAATAGTTTGTGTTGTCCCCATTTGCAAATAGAAAATGAATGCACAAGAGGTAAAACTGCTAAAAACAGACAGCACCAGGATACTAGTACTTCTCACACATTAAAGGCCAACTTTAAAGACATCACCATGGATCAGCTTAGGCTGATCATTAAATAGACGTGCTTTACTGCTAACAAATTCGGTGCATCATAATCATGGACAAATGCACTGACAGATAATGAACAAAGGACACTCATACATTACTTTCCTTTTTGTACACATTATGTCACCATGTGAAACAGGATTTGGAGTTACATGCTTTAAAAATCACATGCATTTTTGAAAAATAAAAGGATACACATGCTAAACTATGTTTTTTAAATAAAGAATTGTAGCACGGGATGAGAAATAAATCAATTCAACACCTAAAGCAATGGAAAAGCACAGCATAAACTATTTCAGAAAGTCTGGTAATTAATGTAAAGAAGCAAATTGCATTATATCACTCATTACTTAATAAAAAATTGAGCATTTATTTTCCAGGGAAGACAAATGTGGTTGGGGTTCCTACTTTATAACATTTGGTGTGGATTTTTACAAGATTATTATGCAATCCGTCAATGGACTGTGGGCGGTGCGGGGCAGCACGGATTCCAAATATTTACAAATCACATGCATTACCTTGAATTGTGTTATTACGGCCTCCACAACCATTGTGCCATCAACTCAAAGGAAGAAATATCTTCCTCAAGCTCTATTTGAAGGCTAAATATATCTTCCCACCTTTGTTTCTACTATTCTAATTTATCACCTGGTCATTTTCTGACATCTCCCTTTAATACAGCTTCGTTTTACACCTCTAGGTCTTTTGATGCACGCTCTTAGGCATCTCTGCCTTACTGCTGCACACATCCACCATGTTATTCAGACTCACATTTTCACCTACTCTTCCAGCTTCTCTCACACCTTTTCTCAATGTGAGCCCTAGGAGTCATCCTAACTACCAAGCTTGGTTAACTGTATTATGACAAAGAGAGAATGTCACTCTCTTCCAAAAGCCAAGGCTTCTAATGATCACGTAGGTGGATAATCACCTGTTTATATACTTGTTAGTCCCACTAGATTGTGCATACGTTTCATGGGACAGTGCATGAAGCTTGTATTATCTTTGAAACTTTACGAGGAATGCCACAGGTCTGTGTGATATCTGCAGAGGTGAGCAGGTAGCAGATGCATGTGGGTGTGAAGGCAAACAGGCAGGACCCTGAAGGGTGTGAAAGATGACATTTCACCCTAGTGGAGGAGGTATCACAGGGTGGAGAGCAAGCCTCCTGTGCTCCAGCTTGCCTGCTCGCATCATTCTGCTGTTCAGTATCCTTTCATGTCTCTTTTTCCAAGTGTACAGACCTAGATGCTCACACAACCTGAAAACTCTATCATAGTTTTGCACTTTCTAGCTCTGTAGCCCAATATTGACTTTCCCTTTTTTTTTAGTCTGCTCAGCCATTCCGTCTCTCTTTCATTTCCTTCATGCTGCCATGCCTCTGGCTGACTCAGCGCTTTTGCTCATGATGTACAGAACAAGTTTCCCCATGTTGCCTCATTCATGCTCTTTCAGGTTGCAAGAATCACCTCAGGGCAGGCGCTGTGGCTCATGTCTGTAATCCCAGCACTTTGGGAGGCTGAGGTAGGAGGATTGCTTGAGCCCAGAAATTCGAGACCAGCCTGGACAACATAGCAGAAACTTGTATCTACAAAAAACAAACAAAAAAAAACAAATAAAAATATAAAAGCATTTGCTGTGTGCAGTGGCATGCACCTGTAGACCCAGCTACTCAGGAAGCTGAGGTGGGAAGATTGCATGACCCCAGGATGTTGAGGCTGCAGTGAACTGTGATTGCACCACTGCACTCCAGCCTGGATGACAGAGTGAGACCCTGTCTAAGAAAAAAAAAAATCACCTCACAAATTGCTTCTTCAGGGAAGTTGTGCTCACCCTACAAGCCTCTCTCCATTTTGTTGTCTAATAGCAATTTATAATTTTCTTAATGACATTAATCATAATTTATAATCTTGTATTATTTGGGTACATATTTTGTGCTCAGCAAGCTGAGGCAATATTCTCATCTTAGTCTCTGGAGTAGTTGGGAATACAAGTGCATGCCACTACACCCAGTGAATTTTTTATATTTTTATATTATTATCTTTTTTTAGAGACAGAGTCCCATTGTGTTGTCCAGACTGTTCTCAAACTTCTGGGCTCAAGCAATTATCTCACCTCAGCCTTCCAAAGACTATAGCTTTTGGAAACCTGGGTGGATGTATTTTTTAAACTCATCATTTTATCCTCAGCACCTAATAACTAAAAGGCATCTTAAAAATACTTATAAAGAATAAATTAATATGTGTACTTAGTTATAGAAGGAAAACATTAAAGTTATTAAGGGTCCAAGTGAGCTGACATACATGAAACACCTTGGAAAGATTCTACCTCTCTATTATAAGAAATTAAATCAGGCCGGGAGCTGTGACTCACGCCTGTTATCCCAGCACTTTGGGAGGCCGAGGTGGGTGGATCACCTGAGGTCAGGAGTTTGAGACCAGCCTGGCCAACATGGTGAAACTCTGTCTCTACTAAAAATACAAAGATTAGCTGGGTGTGGTGGCGTGTGCCTGTAATCCCATCTACTTGGGAGGCTGAGGCAGGAGAATCTCTTGAACCCGGTAGGCAGAGGTTGCAGTGAGCCAAGTTGGTGCCACTGCACTCCATCCTGAGTGACAGAGCAAGACTCTGTCTCAAAAAAAAAAAAAGAGAAGAAAAAGAAATTAAATCAAGTTCTGAATATTCTACTTAATGTAAATCAAGGAACAATCTTAATCACCATCTATAAAAGCTGTTGATAATAGAATGTACCTTACAGTTTTGCCATGATGATTAAATAGCACCATAGCTGTCACAAAACAGGCACTTAATATTTATTGAATGTATGAGCCAAAGAATGCATGAAAACCTGTTAAAATATATCTATAATGTACTCAGATGGTGAGGGGTAGGAAAGGTACTGATGGCATTAATAAAAAGTAATACAAGAAGAGATCAGAGAGGGTGGGCGCAGTGGCTCACGCCTGTAATCCCAGCACTTTGGGAGGCCGAGGCAGGCTGATCACGAGGTCAAGAGATCCAGACCATCCTGGCTAACATGGTGAAACCCCGTCTCTACTAAAACATACAAAAAATTAGCCAGGCGTGGCGGCGGGCGCCTGTAGTCCCAGCTACTCGGGAGGCTGAGGCAGGAGAATGGCGTGAACTCGGGAGGCTGAGCTTGCAGGGAGCCGAGATCGCGCCACTGCACTCCAGCTTGGGAGACAGAGCGAGACTCTGTCTCAAAAAAATAAAAATAAAAAAAAGAGAGAGAGCAAGGAAATAAAATGGAGTGGAAAGAAAGACCACTTGGACAAAGAAAAGGAACTGATTTTTCTTTCTTACTCCTTTATTTGAGGATATGAGGCTTCAATAGCAGATTTCAGAATCCACAGATCTCAGCAAGTAGCTTGAGATATGTTATTTGAATGTTTCCCTTAATACTGCCATGGGAACCCCCCCAAACAAATAAAAGTCTCCAGACTTCCACTTAAAAATCTTCCTTGTATGAATAACTCACGGATGGTTGGCAGAATCTGTATTATTGACCAAGATCCATAGTCTGTTTGATGATGGGTCACATGGGGGAAATACCTGTTTGGGAAGTGTTTTTCTCAGAAGAAGGCACAGCACTATGCCGCTTAAAAGGAGGGAGACCTGTAAAGAGGAATTTGTACACCATAAGGCCATTTGATTTCTATGTAAAGATTGATTTTATGTTCACCAGACCTCCCAATAAAAAGCAAAGCTCATTAAAATATCTGAATTCCATGCCCTTTCTACACTTACTGTTTAACTTCAGGCAGATTACATAATTGTTCTCCAACTCTATTGTACTAGTTATAATTCTCCAGAGAAACAGAAAGAGGAAATTTATTATGGGAATTAACTTACATGATCATGGAAGCCAAGAATTCCCAAGATCTGCTGTACATTAGCTAGAGACCTAGGGATCATTTACCTTCACATCTATTCCTTAGGTAGAAAAATAGGGTAATAATTTCCATTCCTCAGTATTGTTTTAAATACTATCTAAAATAATCTGGACAAATAACTAAGGACAGTATTGATAAACACATAATAGATGATCCATAAAAGCCAGCAAAGAAAAAGAGGAGAAAAGAAAGGAGAAGAAAAATAAAGATGAGGGAGATGGGGAGTACTTTCTTCTATTCTTTCCTTCGCAAACGCTATATAAAATTATTTTTCAGAAGTTAAATAACAATGAAGAGCATATAACCCAGCCAGCTGTCAATGAGAAATTTTAACCATATATGTATTTATATATTTAAGCTACATGGCAGGCCACGGATGTCTATTGATTTCTCTGCTCTGAAATAGGTGGTTTTGTTTAGCTCTGAAAAGTGAACAATTTTCTTGACACCAACTACTTGTTTAATAGTTTTGGAATAATCCATATTTCATTAAGATGATGACTTATCATGCCCAACCTTCTGCTGTCTTGCAAACTATTGATTTAAGGCAGTTTAGCACTTGTATAGCATCTAATAAATTGGTCCCAATTGGCAGTGCTGTGTTATGTACTCATTGCTCATGCTGTAAACACTGGCATCACCTATTTTAGAACCCATCCATAGATTTGTTTTCTCGACAAGATCTTTCCCCTCCAAACCCTTCCACTGAAACAGTCACTGCATTTTTTTTTATGAAACACATAAAACTTTTCGATAAGTAGAGGGCACCACAATCAATATTCATAGTGTGATTTATTGGAAGAGGTAGTATTTCACTAAATCCTCCCTGTAAATCCAGTGTGCAAAGTAGTTAGTACAGTAATCCATCTCCCGGATATTTTAAACAGGGCATTAATGGGCTTGGAAGGTAGACGGGCTGTGAATCATTTGCCTGTGACGGAGGTAGTTAGAGACTTTATTAGCTCAAATGCTTCAAACTCAGCTCTGTCTTCTGCCCCTTCCTCCCATCTTCCAGGCCCAAGCCCATTAGTCTTCACTCAGCTGCTCCTTTTCTCTGAATGTTTGACCCTGACTTTCTTGGGCATTCCAGTTCTCTTTTGTATGGATGCGATATCCTTCTGAAAGCCATCAAGGATACTAATTTGACTTTTATAGTTCTATTCCATTTTTAAGGCTTTTTTTTTCCTCCAGGGTGAGTTTTACACCCAGATTCTTGTTTTTTTCAAATATCTATTGATATGGTTTGGCTCTGTGTCCCCACCCAAATCTCATGTTGAATTCCAATCCTCAATGTTGGTGGGGTGACCTGGTGAGAGGTGATTGGATCATGGAGGTGTATTATCCCTCCTTGCTGTTCTCGAGATAGTGAGTGAGCTCTCATGAGATCTGGTTGTTTAAAAATGTGTAGCATTACCTCCTTTACCATCTTTCTCCTGTTGCCATGTGAAGACATGCTTGCTTCCCCTTCACCCTTCTGCCATGATCATAAGTTTCCTGAGGACTCCCAGCCATGCTTCTTGTACAGCCTGCAGAACTATAAGTCAATTAAACCTCATTTCTTCATAAATTAGCCAGTGTCAGGTAGTCCTTTATAGCAATATAAGAACAGACTAATACATCTGTGTAAGAATTTGTTTGGCACACAGGTAACTTCCATGACTTGCCTATTCATCTTTCTAGAATAGTTGCACTTGCAAAGTTGTAGATTGTTTGTAGGAATGTAACAAAATGCACATTAACTGCTTTAAAAAATCTTAGGTAATGTCATGAATGTAAAATTCAAACAAGATCTTAAAAACGATTTGGTAAATCCTATGTAGAAAAATGAGTATTACAAATGAATATATACTTGGCCATTTAGAAACAGAAAAGGGCACCGTGGTTTCCAATAACTGTAATTAGTTCAGTGTTGTTACAGTATAAGATGTACAACTATCCATGATAAGAGATAAGTGTAGAAAGAAAATTTGAGGCATATTTGCAGATTCCCATATTCAATAACCATTTATTGAGTAAATGAATGTATGAATTAATTTCTCAACCAAAAAATATATCAATGGATAAACTATTTCTACCCTTCCATTCACATGGTTGTGTTCTTCTTCATAGACAAAGTGCTTTTTGTTTTGTTTTTTTACTAATTAATATCTCTTTTTCATTTGTATCTTGGCATTTTACAAAGAATCCAGAAAAATTGTCTTACCCTTTGGGAGGTTTGCTGACCTTTGATATAGAATCAAAGTCTCTCACTGTTTCCTTTAAAGTATCTGATATCTTTTATGTCCTTGAAGGTGACAATAATTAGATCAGAAATATTGCCACACTTACTTCCAACTCTTCCCACCTTACAGTTGATAAAAATACACTGAGCCAACACATCAGCTGGTCTTTTCAATTTATTAATCCAAGAATCCATCTGTTCAAATTGAGGCTCTAGCAACACGACTGTTAAGGCCAGATGGACTAGTTGTCCTTACGCTGCAAAGCAACAGCATCCTCAAAGCCTAGCACAAGGACTTTATGCTTGTTGTATTAACAGATGGGGCGACTGGCATTTCCTATCTGGGAGCTCTGCAATTTGCAATTTCTACCCTGAAGCCATTTAGCAGGAAAATATAGTAAGAAAATAAAATACTTAGCATTTTCACTTTCTTTTATATTAATGCTTTATGGAACAGAAAGGTGTAGACAAAGAAGTCCTAAGATTGAGAATCTTAATTTAGAGAAACTTTTCAGAATGACATACAACTTAGGTCATTCTTGGGAACGCTGGAATATATCTATTGGGCTTATTGTTCCAGTTGCAATATCAGTGGGACATTTAGGGAATAATGAAAAATCATGTCAAATCCACTGCAAAATCCTTGTGATGGTAGTATAAAATTCAGTTGCAGGGAAGCTGCCCAAAAAATGTCTGCCTGGACGTCCATCTGATGGCCTTTTCAGCTAGGAGTTGAATTGATTCTTGGGGGTATGAGGAGGTGAGAGGAGGAAATGTAACTGAAGGGGAGACACCAAGGTGTTTCAATCCTAAATTCAGAAATTCAGTCCCTATTTTGCTAATATCTCAAGATTCTTGCCCATAATTTAAGTGACTTATCTGACTACTGTCAGAGACCTAGAAACATTTTACAGTTTGTATTTGCATTCTATTTTTGGTAATTTACTTGGGCTTTGACTTTTCTGTCCTCAGACCCTTTCATATTTCATTGTCACACAACCTAGTATCTGGTCTGGTGTTAGTTTCTGGAATTCATACCCATGGTAATCACCCAAAAAGTAGTAAAATCATAATAATTATGAAATTATTACACACAATCCTATTTATTCTATTATAAGCCAATTACACACAATGTTTTATAGATTTTAATGTATGTCTTGCACGTTTGTTTAATTTCTACGTATGTTATTCTTTTGTATGCCATGTTTTTTCAATATTATTTTCAGATAATTCTTTGTTAGTATATAGAAATCCAACTGATGTTTTATGTTGATTCTGTATTCTACGACTTTGCTAAGCTTATTTATTAGCTCTAATAGGTTTCTTTTTGTATTGTTTGGTTTTCTTTGGTGGGAGAGAAGTAGGTCCTTCTTATACATAAGACAATGTCATCTGCAAATAATGATAATTTTATTATTTCTTCCTATGCAAATGAACATTTTTTAGTCCTTTTTTATTCCTTTTTTCTGTCTTTTCATTTTTTTTTTCTTTTTGTTACACCCTCCAATGTGATGTGAAGAGGAATGGTGTGAATAAACATATTTGTCTTACACCTGACCTTAGAAAAAAGACTTTGGCCTTTCACATTTAAGTACAATGTTTGTTGTGGAGTTTTCACAATTGTTCTTTTGTTCTTTTTCAGATTGAGAAATCTTTCTCATTTTTTTTCTTTTTCTTTTATTTTTTTGAGACAGAGTCTCACTCTGTCACCCAGGTTGGAGTGCAGTGGTGCAATCTCAGCTCACTACAGCCTCCATCTCCTGGGTTCAAGTGATTCTCATGCCTCAGACTCCCAAGTAGGTGGGATTACAGGCATGCACTACCATCCTCAGTTCATGTTTGTATTTTTAATAGAGACAGGGCTTCATCATGTTGGCCCGGCTGATCTCAAACTCCTGACCTCAAGTGATCCACCTGCCTCAGCATCCCAAAGTGCTGAGATTGCAGGTGTGAGCCACTGCGCCCAGCCAAGAAGTCTTTTTCAATTCTAAGTTTATTAGGTATTTTTACTATGAAAACATGTTGGATTTTGCCACATGACCATTTAGTGTGTGTTGAAGTGATCACATGAATTTTATTATTTTTTACCTATTGTTGTTTACATATAATATACATATTGTGACTTATTAGGCTGGTGCAAAAGTAATTGCAATTTTTACCCCTATTACTTTGGAAAGTAATGGCAAAAACCGTGATAACTTTTGCACCAACCTAATAGTTGGTATATGGTGTTGTTCACATCCTCTACGTCCTCATTGACTTTCTGTCTAGTGGTTCTATCCATTACAGAAAGTGAAGTATTGTAGGCTCCAACTATAATTGTTGATTTGTCTACCTTTTATTCTGTCAGTTTGGTTTTATGCGTTTTGGTTATCTGTTCTTAGGCGCTTATATGTTTATAATTATTATATCTTCTAGATTGATTGAAACTTTATCACTACATAATGTCTTTCTTTGTCACTCCATGATTTTTATTTTAATGTCTATTTTGTCTGATAATACAGTTACTTCAGTTCTCTTTTGAGTACTGTTTGCAATTAATTTTTTTATATTTTTGCTTTAACCCTATTTGTATAATTGAATTTAAAGTGAGTCTCTTATAGACTGTGTATAGTTGGATTATGTTTTGTTTTTAATCTATTCTGCTAAATTTAAATTAGAGTTTAATTTATTTATAATTAATGTAATTACTGATAAGGTAGAAATTAGTCCTGCAATATTACTATTTATTTTCTATATGTGTTATGTCTTATTTGTTCTTTAATTCCTCCATTGCTGACTTTTTAAATTAAATAGATATTTTCTCATGGATCATATTAATTATACATTTTTCTATATTACCTTAGATACTTTCTTGGTAGTTACTATGGAGATAAAAATTAAAATTTTAAATATAATAATCTAATTAGATTAATACAAACAAGTTTAATAGCATACAAAAATGTTGTTCTTATATATTTTTTCCTAAATTTTATGCAGCCATTTTCATAGATTGCATTTTTATACATAGTTTGCCCATCAGCCAAAATTAAGTATTATTGCTTTATGCAGTTGTCTTCTAAATTAGATTTTCAAAATACAAAGAAAAATGCATGTATAATGTCTTTCTTTTACCTATATAGTTATCTTTCCAGTGTTCTTTTTTAAATGTGATTTGAGTTACTGTCTAGTGGTCTTTCTTTCCATCCCACAGGCTCTCTTTAGCATTTGTTGGAGAACAGACCTTACAGTAACAAACTCTTACATTTTATCTATTGATGTCTTTATTTCTTCTTCATTTTTGAAGGACACTTTTGTCCAATATAGAATTCTTTGGTTCCCATATATTTTTCTTTCAAAAATTAGAGTATGTCACCTCCCTGCTTTTTGGTTTCCAGAAGTTTCTGATGAAAAATTTGTTGTTCATCTTATTGAGAGCCTTTTGTACTATTGATTGCTTCTCTCTTGCTGCTTTCTTGATTCTTTGTTCTTGTTTTCAACAATTTAATAAGGATGTAATTCCATGTGACTCTTTTTAAGTTTTTTCCTACTTGGACTTTGTTCAGCTTCTTATATATGTAGATTGATGTTTTGTGTCTAATTTGATAAATTTTGAGTCGTTATTCTTTCAAATATCCTTTTTTCTCTTACTTTCTCTCATCCTTCTGGAACTTCAAATATGTGAATGTAATTGTGCTTCATGGTGTTCCAAAGCCTTTTAAGCACTCTTTATTTTTCTTTATTCTTGATTTTTTCTGTTCCTCACAATGAATTACCTCAAATGACCTATTCAAGTTCACTGATTCCTTTTTTCTGTTTGCTCAAATCTGCTGTTGAGCTCCTCTAGAGAATTTTCATATCAATTGTACTTGTCAACTTCAGAATTTTTATTTGGCTAATTTTACAAATTTCTATCCCTTTATTGATATTCTCTATTTGTTGCAATATCACTCTCATACTTTCTCTTAATTCTTGAGGTGTGGTTTCTGTTTCATTTAGCATATTTAAAATAACTGGTTTAAAATCTTTCTCTAGAAGTTCTAACATTTGGGCTTGTTCAAGCATAAGTTTTTGTAATTTATTTTTTCCTATGTATGAACCATCCTTTCTATCTTTTTTAATCCCTTGCAATTTGGGGTTGAAAATTGGAATTTGAATATTATAATTCGATAACACTGAAAATCATATTACTTCTCTTTCTCAGGATCTGTTATTGTTATTGCTTATTTCTGTTGTTGTTCATTTTGTTTAGTTACTTTTTTGAAATAATTCTGTTAAGTCTATATTCTTTGTTGTGTGTGGCCCCTGAATTTTCTGTTCCATTATTTTGGTGGTCAATGTCATATTGGAGAGAGGTTTTCTTAAATGCCTTGTACCATAAATCTTCCAGTCTTTCCATGAGGCTATGTTTGTTTGTTGTGGCATGCCTTCATCATTCACTGGGCAGTTTACAACTTTGCCTTATCTTTTACTTCCTGCTGCCAAAGACTGTCAATATCAGTAGGAGGTGAGAGTAGAGGGTCTTTTTAGATCTTTCCTAGCATGTGTATATCATTCTACATTCCTGGAATATGTTAGAGGTTTTCAAACCTCTTAAAGATATCTTATTCCCTAGATGTTTCTTCTAAGTTTTTTGGTTAGTCTATTGTTATCTATAGCCCACACGCAGCAGCAACTGAGACAACAGCCTGTAAATGTTTTCTGCAAATACTCCCCATCCAACCTAGGAAGCAACTTTGGCATTAAGCCAATTTCAAGTTAGGCAAAATTATGATAATCCGTTTGAGCCAGTCTATCAGGGAGCCACAAGCCAGGTAAAAACAAATAATTAATTATAATTCTTTATGAATAAGATCCATTCATCTCTGTATCCTACAGAGAATACTGGATTGTGGAACATGGGGCTAGGGTAAGTTAAAATGGCACAAAATGTACCGTTATTACCAAAAATTAGCCTTTTGTAATGAACAAGTGTTTCTTTGGGTGGCTGCAAGCCTTTGGTTCATTTCCAGAATTCAGAAAAGTTGATTCTGACAGTTTTCCAGTTTTTAATTGTCTTTGTGGAGGGGCAGAATTTGAAGTTCCTTATACTAACATTTTCACTAACATCAAGTCTTCATTTCTTGGCAGGGAAAATAGTTATAAATCAGGAGAAAAATATATAAGAATATATATTTACTAAAACACTTGTATATATGTTTAGAGCTATGCTACCGACTGAAAGCACAATTTTCTCGTTCCTGTTTCTCTCAGGCAGCAGTGTCTAAGACCACAGCTGACCCTAACGGACCTCCACAAGTGATCTATATTTTTTAACAATTTTCATTCTTATTTTAATTAAGGAATTTTATTATATTGTTGTAAAGGTCTAGCATAATTTCCTCCTTACACAATTAATACAAACTCGTTACAGATATTCTGCAAGATAGACAAATTTGAAAAGAAATAAAAATAATTATACTGAATAATTGACTATTATTTCTAGTTAAGGACAATTCTGTGTATACTTCTTTTCACATGATTATGACATTCGTTAGATGGAAGTGTGCATATTGCTTATTTTCACTCAAGGAAGTGTTGGCCGGAGCATTTTCCTATGTTAATAATATCGCTTAAATTCCAACTGGCATCTGTATACGATGTAGTATTACATAGCCATTAAAGTGCAGTCACCATAAAACAAATTATCTCATATATGATGGTTGTATAATAATTAATCTGTAGATATAATATAAGCATTTAATCATTCAGATTTTATTGAATATTTAGAACATCGCCATCATTTTAATTATTAAAAGTATCATTGTTGTGGGATAAATAGTGTCCTCACAAAATTCACATGTTGAAACCCTAACCTCCAGTACCTCAGAATATGACCATATTTGAGAAAAGGACCTTTAAAGAAATGATTAAGTGAAAATGAGATCAATAGTGTGGACACTAATCTAATATGGCTGGTGTACCTCTCAGAAGAGAAAATCTGGAACTATGTAAAGACATCAATGACGTGTGGGCATAGAAGAAAATCCATGACAGAACACAGAGGGGAGCCAGCCATCTATCAGCCAAGGAGACGGGTCAAGGATAAACCAAACCAACGAATACCTGGTCTTGGACATCTAGCCTCCAGAAAATGAGAAAATACATTTCTGTTGTTTAAGCTGCTGCTTCTGTGGTAGTTTGTTATAGAAGGCCTAGAAAATGAATACAAGCATTGTGATGTACATTTTGATAATTAGTAGCTCACTCATGATGCAGTGATGACACTTTTTGGAACAAAACTACTAAAAATGGCGGCACTTGCTAAAAAGCTCAGAATGTATTTTCATTAAATATATTTCCCATGATACAATGCTTGATAACAATTGCTTCACACAGTCCTTCCTGAAGCCCTATGAGTAAAGCAGAATATCTAATGATTAATTGTGAAAATTATCTATACTGCTGAGCTTTTCCAATATCTGTGTTTACTACCTTTTAAATGCCCAGTGGATAATATTTTACTTCCAAAGATATGAGAAGTGCTTTTGCTAATCGTGTTTGGGTAGGGCAAAATGGACCATTATCTTTTTTTGGCAAGTCACTCCAACATAAAGACCAAAAATCCCCCTGTTGCAAGACAAAAGAAAATTACTTTTTTACTTATTTCTTTTTGTTCCCCTAGGGTATTAAACATGTTCTGATGTATTTGACCAGTAAAAAGTCAATAGAATAGACCCAACAGCAGATGGCATCTGGGTTAGAAAGACATCTTGCTGAAAAGAGAGTTCAGGTAATCAATTATTTGTGATGGAATTGTGGTGAGGAAGGAAAATATTATAGCCCAAAGGTGATTCTTTCTGAAAGTTGTTATCCATATCATGTGTGCAGTTATGTCCATATACTTATACATGGTGCATATTTTGATATAAATTACCCCAATATAACTTTGCACCCTGCATGTCACAATGTCTCAATTTATATTATTAGAAACACTGGGTGCCAGGCACAGCGCTGGGTATTACACACACATTCTATTCCATTCTCAAAATTTCTCTGTGATACTCTCATGTAAGAAATTAAACCAGAGTTCTCTCAGTCTACATAACTCCAAAAATCAGACCATTTTCCAAAATTCTATGCCGTTTCTTAATGAAAATGTGATGATGAATATAAGCCAAGGTGCACATTGCCAACACTATTTGTAATGATAAAACAGTAATTAGAAAAAGAAAAACTATGTCTATGAAATACATTTATAATACCCATTTATTCGCACATAATGCAGCTCTAGAGAAAGAGATCTATGTGTGTTTTTATGGAAAGGTATATTGCTTTATTTTAAGTTAAACAAGCTGTAAATTAATACATAAAATTGTACTAGTACAAAATTATATACATACACACAAAATACATGTATTTACTCATTTTTCTATGATACATATATATATATATATATATATATATATATATATATATATATACGTATGCATACACATTTCTCAAACTTTAGTGTGCTTAAGAATTACCTGTAACCTGGAGAATAAAACTCTAAAGTAGAATCTAAAAATTTGCACTTCTAAGAATTCCCCAGGTGATGTTAATATTGCTGGTGTTCAGACATTGCAGTAGAATTGTTATATAAAATGTAGTATGTATGCATGAATCAGATTCAAGCACATATATCTATACACATATACATATATGTGCATGTATGTATAATTATATGAAAGTTTGAATAGTAATTAAAAAGTGTAGAAACATACATATGAAACTCAAAGTCATGCTTAATACAGGAGAATAGAAATGTGTCTATAAAGGGAACAAGAAAATCCCTTTTCAACTTAATATACACTGTATCTATGTATTTTACATATTTATTAATAACTAATTAAATTAAAGCAATATATTTCTGTTGTACTCTTTAACAACATATTAAAGACATGCAAATTAAAACAATGAGATATCACCTCACACCTGTTAGAATGGATATTTTCAAAAGGGTGAAAGATAACAAATGCCGTGGAGATAAGATGTGAAGAAAAGGGAACACTTGTACATCATTAGTAGGAGTAAACATTGCCACAGTCATTATAGAAAACAGTATTGTTAAGTATAGTCTCTCAAAACCTTAAAAATAGAGCTACATTATAATCCAGTAATCACACTTCTAGGTATATATCCAAAGCAAATGAAATTGGCATAGCAGAGATACCTGCACTCTCATGTTCGTGGCAGCACTATTCACAATAGTCAAGATATGAAAGTAATCTAAATGTCCATTGGAAGATGAATGGATAAAGAAAATGTGGCATATATATGTATCTATATATATCTATATTTTATATATATATTATATCTATATAATATATATTATATATAATATATATATCTATATTATACATATCTATATTATATATCTACATATATCTATATTATATATCTATATATATCTATATTATATATATATGTATGTATATATGCAATGGATTACCATTCAGTCTTATAAAAGAAAAAAAGTCCTGCCATTTGAAACAATATGGATGAATCTGGAGGACATCATGCTATGTAACATAAGCCAGGAACAGAAAGACAAATACTGTGCAATCCCACTTATATGTAGAATATAAAAATGTCAGACTCATAGAAACAGACAGTAGAATGATGGTTTCCACAGGCTGGATGGAGGAGGATATGGGGAGATGTTAACCGAGGGGTCCAAAGTTTAAGTCATGCAAGATAAATAAATTCTGGAAATTCAATGTACAACATGGTGACTATACTTAGCAATACTGTACTGTGTAATTAAAATTTTCTTACAAGTTAGACTTCAAGGGTTCTAACCAAAAAAAAAAAAAAAAGCTTACTATGTGAGGTGATAGATATGTTAATTAGCTCTATTGTTAATATTATATATATATATACACACACAATATGTCAAGTTGTACATCTTACATGTAAATTTTTATTGTCAATTATACCACAATAAAGTGGGGGAATAATCCTCTAATTTATTTCCACAAGCCCCTAATTATCTTATTTTCTGGGAGTATTTTTTATTTCACCTCAGCCTTCCACCAGAATCTGGGGACATCTTTCTTTTGAAGAGTACATTGCCTCCCTTTGTCAGCTTGATAGCCACAATATCTCAAAACCGATTTTTGTTAACAATAGCCATATGACATAGCAACCCAGAGCTCCACAAATCTCTCAGTTTAACAGTGTTCTAAAACATGTATTTCCATTTTTTGTACACAAATAAGCTTTTCGTATCCATCTGTGACTGAGTGACATGATGTGCTGTAGATGTTGTCAACTCACCCTTCTCTGCTAGCTAGTATTCACACATATAAGCAGTAAATATTCAGTATGTATTACTTAAATGGTAGATGGATGAATGAATGAATGGTTATGATCTCTATTTGTTGAGAAGCTGATAAAAACTCACAATTTACTTGCTATGAACTGAAGTGTAATAGAAGCATCAGCATTTTAAAAAACATTATCAGTAACTAAAATCTATGCTTTTTCCAGATTTTCTCAGTATTCGCTTATATGTTTCTTTTTTATTACCCCATCCAGATACCACATTACATGTAGGTGTCATGCTGCTTTAGACTCCTTCTGACTGTGGCCACTTATAAGACTTTCTTTGTTTTTGATGAACTTGACAGTTTTGAGGAGTATTAATAAGGCATTTTGTAGGATGCCTCTCCTTTGGGATTTGTCTGTTGTGTTACCCTGCTTGCACTGGAAGATCACAAAGGTAAAGCATGATTCTCATCTCAGCATGTCAAGGGGACATACTCCCATGTGGTTTGTTGGTCTTTATGTTCACCGTGATCACCTGGTTCAGGTAGTGTTTGTCAGGCATCTTCCATGCAAAGTTATTCTTTCTTTTTCTCCTTTTCATACTGTAATATTTGGAAAGAAGTCACTCTCTACCACAGCTTAATGAATGAAAAGTTATGCTCCACATCCTTGAGGGCAAGGAGTATCTACTTACATTACTTGGAATCCTTTTGCATGGGAGATTTGTCCCTTCTGTCTGTATTTTGCTAAACATTAGTTTCTACCAGTGCCTCCAACTCATATCCAGTAGCACAGGGATCATTTCAGCCTCCTCGTGTTGCTTGTCTGTAACCACCCGCACCAACAGTGACAGCGTGATCTCACCTCTTGACATTCACTTACCTAATTGTTCAATTGAAGTAAACTTGTATCGCAGTTTCAAAATTGTAAACCCTCACCCTCCCCCGAGAGGGAATCAACTTTATTAACTAGAGTACAATACTTATATACAGTTCCTTTTACATTTAATCTTTCAGACTCCACTCTTTTACAAAATTAATTAGACCTTTTCTCCTCTCCACTTCAGTGATTCCATATGTTTATAATAACAGATTATTTTACTACAGTATGGGTTCATCCTTCCATCCTCAGACTTCCTGAAAAAATTTCATACATCAAAGTATGCCTTAAATGTTATAGTAAGTTCTGCATACTTCTAAGGGTTTTGACAATTGCATGGTGTCATATATCCTCCATTACATTATCATACAGAATAGCTTCAGTGCCCTTAAAAGTCTCCTGGGCTCTAGCTATTCTACTCTTTCCACAAACACTTGGCAAACAGCATTCTCTTTACTATCTATAGTTTTCCACTTAATGTCAGATAAATGAAATCATGCAGTATGTAACCTCTTTAGATAGGGTTCTTTCACTTAAACTGTGCATTTCAGACTAGATTAGTCCATATTTTCGCATGACTTGATAGCTCATTACTTTTATTGCTGAAAAGTAATCAATTGCATATAAACGTATGACATTTTGTTTACATAGGCATCTATTGAAAGTCATATTGGTGACATCCACTTTTGAAAAACTATTTTTAAAAGTTATGAATCTTTACATACAGGTATTTGTATGAATATATAGGGCTCCTAGGTGATAAAGACAGCCTGGAAAGGGGTGAGTGAGGAGGAATTTTCTTCCCCTAGCTTGGATAATATTTTGGCAAATTCCTTTCTCCTGAAGAGTAGGCTTTGTTATAGACATGACTCTGAATATATTTAATAATGATGGTTTCCTCTAGTCCACAAAGGTATCTTTGTTAGATCCTCCCATGGAAGTGTGGAGCATCCCCTAATACTGTGTCTTCAAGGAAATTCTCCCTCTGGTAAGCAGATCTTGGCTGTAACTCCCTGGATTCACCTGTGGCTCCACCATTTGGGGGTCATGATTTGCCTGGTGACCTCAGTTTTCTGATGAACCAAGAAATTAATTAGTTTACTGATTTTTCAGCTTTTTATTATGAGAAAAAAGGAGGAATGACTTCCAAGTTCCTTTCATATCAGGGCTGACTCATATTTATCATATATTTTTCAATAATAACTTTCAGATAGTAAGACTCTGAGATACTGAGTTTTCAGTTTTTTCTCTTTTTTTCTAAGAATTTGCCTATAATTTACCTAACCCAGGAACCTGACTTTTAATCATTGTACCATATTAATATTACCCAAATTGCATTTGTTTCCAATTTATTTTTAATAGCACTTCTGCATACCATCTAATATTATTATAATTAAACCACAATTTACTATAATGTAATAATTTATATAATTCACCAAAATACTGACAATGTATATCACTGGATGATAACAATATATATGTGTATGTGACAATATAAATATATATTTTAGTTATATACATATATTGGCATTTTTGGATTTACAAATAAATACATATTTACTATAACACTTATATATTCACTACTAAGATGGTTCAGATACTTCTCTTGCCTCTCAAGCCTAGCAATCTGTCTTATCAAGTGATTCTAAGACTTTAGTAGAAGAACTGCTGGGATGGCAGGGTAAGCAGACTTTTGGGGACTTACCCTTGAGTTTCTGATTCAGTTCTTGAGAATTTCTAGCAAGTTTTCAGTTGATGTTGATGCTAACTTTCAGGAAACCAAAATTGGGGAATCATTTAAATATGTTAAAGTTCTAGCACCAGTATTTATTACTTACTGAAAGCTCCCTACCTCGTTGCAATAGATAGCTTAGCCTAAGAGTCACAGGAAAAAAAAATTCTCAAACCCAAGTCCCCACAGTGATAACCAATATGAGCTAATTAGCTTTTTTATGTTGGATGTAGCCACCCCTTTATATAGCTTGCAATGTGTTTTGGGAAAGCGAACACTATAAACAGTAAAATCAATGATATTGACTCAGAATTTCATTATCAAAGCATTTGGCTTGTTATCATTATAGGGGACAAAAGGGTAATCCTTATAACTGAAGTGCTATGACAGCATTGTTACCTGTTGAGTACACACAGGGCCATTATCTGTTCTAGGACTGAGGGACCACTATTGAATCTAGTCAGAACACAACAAAGTAAACTGTAAATTTGTATATGAGTAAATTTATTCATTCAATATGTTTCTCCAACATGGCTGCCAGACCATAAATTAAAATTAACCTCTATGACTCATTTTGGTGGCAGTGTATCAAATTTCTTCAAAACCAGCCAAGATTATTAAATGTTATTGTGAAACAACAAGCTCTCAAAACATGAACTGTCAGAATGTAGGCCTTTTGTTCACTAATTATTCATGTAGCAATTGTTTACTAATTTATTGATATGTGCTAAGGAATAAAAATACTAACCCTGCCCTGGATTTCCCCGAAGTGTGAAATAATCATGGTGCTCTGGGATTGATGCTGATATGAACAAATATGAACAACTGGAATCCATTTTATGTTTGGGAATATTTATCTTTCTTTAAAAATCTATTTAAATTCCATTTTGATTTGTTAAATTAACACATTTGGAAAACAATTTTAATTTTATATTTCTGTGATAAACATATTTTTGAAAATGCTTCTGAGATGATATAGGGTGGTGGCAAGAGAAGTGTAGCTACCAATTCTAAAAGGTCGAGGTTTAAAGATGCTGGCATACACAGATGATGCTATAACTCACTTTTGAAAGGAAATGATATCATAATGTTTCTTGGTGAGGCTTGCATCATTTATTTGCTGGTTAGTTACTATTATATGATTATTCATGAGCTGTTGCATTATTGAATATACTATTGTTAATATCTTGTCTCTGAAATTTTAGAAAGTACTATATTATATAATATTCAATAGTCTTATAAATTGCTGTGTCTATATATATATATATATATATGAGTGTACAAAGTTAAAATTAATCAAGTGATAGAAAATTACTTAGCATCTGTTATGGGTTGAGTGGTGTCTCATCCTAACTGCCCACTTCAGGATTTGATTTTATTTGGAAATTGGGTCATTGCAGATGTAAATTATTTAAAGTGAGGTGGTACTGGAGAAGAATAGACCTTACTTGTAGTATGACCGCTGTCTTTCTCAAAGGGGGACACTTGGACACAAGACACTTGAAATCCATGTGGAGATAAAGGCAGAGATTATGGTGAAGATTTTACAAGCTAAGGAATGTGAATACTTTCCAGCAAATCACTAGCAGCTAGGAGAGATGCTTCCTTGTAGCCCTCAGAAGGAACCAACCCTGCCAACACCTTGATCTCAGCCTCTAGAGCTGTCAGACAATACATTTCTATTATTTATTTATCTACTTATTTATTTAATTTTTTTTTTTGAGACAGGATCTTGCTCTGTTGCCCAACCTGGGGTTCAGTGGCACGATCGCCAATTGCTGCAACCTCTGCCTCCTATATTCAAGCGATTCTTGTGCCTCAGCCTTTCAAGTAGCTAGGACTACAGGCGCATGCCACTATACCGAGCTAATTTTTGTATTTTTTAGTAAAGATGGGGTTTCACTATGTCGTCCAGGCTGGTCTCAAACTCCTGGCCTCAAGTGATGCACCTACCTCAGTCCCGCAAGGTGCTGGGATTACAGGCGAGAGCCACCGTGCCCGGCCAATTTATGTTATTTAAGACACTTGATATCCTGTATTTTGTTAAGACAAACGGAGAAAACAACAGCCAATCACCAGCAGCTAGGGAAGAGGCCTGGGAGAGATTATTATTAAATTGCATCGTTTTATTATTTTATGTCATGTATAGATAAAAATATAAGTATATACATTTGGTCCTTTTGAACGTCAGATTTGGTCTAACTATTCTGGTAGCCTTGTAAAATGAGGTGAGAAACTTTCATTTTCTCTCTTCTGCACTAATATTTTATTTTTAACCCGAATATTTTATTTTTCTTGAAGATTTGGAATAATTTTCTAGTAAAAATTTCTAAGGTGCTTTCCATTTTTTGTTTTTTTAATCAATCTCTAGATTTTCTGCCTATTGCCAAATCAATACCGACAATTTATGTTTGAAACACATCTTTTACATTTATTCTAGATTAAATTTGCATAGGGTTCTTATATATTTATTTAAACTTCTCAATATTTCTAGTCATTTATGTTCCTCACCGTCAATGTTTTATTAGAATGTCTCTTTCTAGAACACGATTTAAAATTTTTAATTATTTACTTATGCTCATTTTCTCTCACACTTTATGTTTTTCCCTCCTCCATCCTACCTATATAATACTTCTGCTAAATACTGTAATGTAGCACCTAACCAGTTCAATAAGCAAAAATAAGAAACTAAATGATTAAGTTTTGAAACCAAAGACAAAAATCTCCTATTTTTAACATATGAGATGCTTATGTGTGTGAAAAATAGAAATAAATTTAAAAATATGATACTAGAAATAAAAACATCCCTTAAATTTGTCAAGGTCAAAATATAAATTTTAACAATAAAAATCAATTGCATAATGATTGTAACAAACAATTGGAAAACTAAACTTACAGTATCACTTACAATAGCATTATAAAACATCGAATTCCTAGGAATAAACTTAACAAACATTTGCAATATATATACCATGAAAACTACAAGTAATGCTGAGAGAAATTAAGAAAGACCTAAATAAAAGAATAGACATATCGTTGTGAAAGACTCAATATTTTTAAGATGTTGATTCTCCCAAAATGGATTTATAAAGTCAATGCAACCCTAATCAAATGCTATCTGTCTTTTTTTAAGTTTTGAGCTGATT
This sequence comes from Homo sapiens, assembly GCF_000001405.40. NCBI lineage: Eukaryota > Metazoa > Chordata > Mammalia > Primates > Hominidae > Homo > Homo sapiens. The sequence goes on from NC_000008.11 coordinate 137,555,883, forward strand.
AGAATATATATGTATAAATACAAAATACCTAGATAGTCAAAAACATATTCAAAAAGAAGCAATTTAGACGATTCATACTATCAGATTTAAAGACTTTCTTCAGACGTTAAATTTCATATAGTCCATGACATAACTATATAGCAGTACCAAAGAAATCTGCTGACTCTGTTATTGTTTGCGGTTCTGCTATTTTGGTTTTTTTTTTTTTAATAATCATTTCTTCAGTAGCAATTATGTTTAAAAGCTCTTCCTCAGAGATATAAAAAGTATTTCTCTCTTTGTACTCCCCCCGCCCTCATTGGACTTACATTGTCTTCCAGAGTAACACAAGATAAGTTAGTCTTAAAATGAGGGAATGAGATGAGAGTTTCCAATGTATTATGCTTTATCTTAATTATTAATGTTATAGTATGACTTGCACGTTTCATTATCAAAGTAAGATGCAACTGCAGATTGGTGGATGACCCTGTTCCAGTTATTTTTAATAAAATGGCAGAAGGCAGAATCCAAGCCCACCAAAAACACTAAAATAGCACCATCACATCCAACACACCTTAGACTAGTTAGTTACATTCTCTCGTCCAGCTTCCGGAGCTATAGAGGAAGAGATCAACATCCACTTTATCCCTCCTACACAAGGAAGGAGCCAACATTTATTATACTGTTCTGGGCTACTAGCAAAATTAATATCATGACACACAACAAAGTTGAATTAGTGCCTTAGGGATTAATTAATGTTTGAGAAAAATTAACTCCGAAACAGTAAGGTTTCTTTGTTTTTCCTTTGCATGTTTTTCTTTCATTTGAATGTAACCTCAAGTAATTATTAAAGTGGCATGTATTCTTCATTTTGTATGTAAAAAATTTGGACAGAAAATGTCACATATGAAATTTGAAAGATTCATTTAAAATATCATTTAAGAAACATATAGCTTCCAAGGAAGTGTCACTTTAATTCCACTGAATAATGTCATCAGTACTTGATATGCTGCATTTTCTCTTTCAGGGAATTTTGCTATCTTAGGAATAACTTTCAAGACCCTATTGCATCATTTAGAAAGAGAAAAAAAGTAACAAGCTAACTACCTTAGGGTTAAACCTAAAGTTATTTCACACTTTTGGAAGTGGCCCCGTGAGTATGGATCTGAAAAAATAAAATGAAATAAGATAAAATAAAGCGTGAAAATATATCTAAAAATGTGTAACTTCTGGCAAAATGCAGTTACTTTGCTTGTTCCCCTTGGATTCTCACATGATTTAAGAAATGTATAGCTTGCAAGGAAATGTCACTTTAATTCCAATGAATAATGTCATCAGTACTTGATATACTGTATTTTCTCTTTCAGGGAATTTTGCTATCTTAGGAATAACTTTGAAGACCCTATTGGATCATTTAAAAAGAGAAAAAATGTAATGAGCTAACTACCTTAGGGTTAAACCTAAGATTATTTTGAACTTTTGGAAGTGACCCCATGAGTATGGATCTGAAAAAATAAAATGAAATAAGATAAAATAAAGCGTGAAAATATATCTAAAACTGTGTAACTTCTGGCAAAGTGCAATTACATTGCTTGTAGCCCTTGGTTTCTCGCTAACAGCCTATTTTGTTATAGTTACAGAAAGTTTGATTATCTGGTCTTAGTAATCACTAATTATTTAATATTTACTTGTTGCTTAGTTATTGTTCAGGCACTGTACCCTTAAATACTAAGATGAAGAGATGCAGACTTTGATTCTAAGCAATGCAGCTGAAGAAAGGACATTACATGAGAGGAAGAAGATGTAAGAACAGAACTGAGTATAGCATGTGGCCATCAGTAAGGCCATTTTTTTTTAAACAATTTTTATAAAACAAACTATAGGAGTTATGGAGATAAGAATGAAGGCCATTTGGAGTAAGGTTGTACCACTGTGTAGAACTAACATATACACAGTTTAATAATTCATGTTCATAATACCCATGATAAATCATCCACAAAAACATTTACTATTATAATCAAATAATTATTTCTGATATTAACAATGCATTCTTAAACTATAAGTGGAATATTTCTTAAATTATAATTGAAATATTGTATTTTATTACAATAAGCAATTATTACATTTTAAAATAATTTCCAACCATATATTTATATATACATATTTTAGATAAAATTCTCAAAATGTATCCTGAAATTTTGCTTACAATAAACTATTTATTAATAAAACCAGTATGTGGCACACTATTTTACAATTATAATTGCAGAAATTATCTTTTAATATTTGATAGAAATTATTTTTTTGGATAAATTATAAAACTATAAACTATTTTATACTTTTTTCCCTTTTATACCTTTATTTCTTTTAGTTTTAACCCATACACACATAGAAACACACAAATATTACAAGTAATTTGTCACACAAAAACACAAGTTATATGATTGATATGTCACTCATTAATCAGCCACACATATTTCAGTATTGTTGTGTGCTTAAATTATATATATATTTTTTTCAGACGGAGTCTCACTCTGTCACCAGGCTGGAGTGCAGTGGCGTGATCTCGGCTCACTGCAACCTCCACCTCAAGTGATCCTCCTGCCTCAGCCTCCTGAGTAGCTGGGACTACAGGCAAGTGCCACCATGCCCAGCTAACTTTTTGTATTTTTAGTAGAGATGGGGTTTCACCATGTTGGCCAGGATGGTCTTGATCTCTCTCTCTCTTTTTTTTTATTATACTTTAAGTTTTAGGGTACATGTGCACATTGTGCAGGTTAGTTACATATGTATACATGTGCCATGCTGGTGCGCTGCACCCACTAACTCGTCATCTAGCATTAGGTATATCTCCCAATGCTATCCCTTCCCCCTCCCCCCACCCCACCACAGTCCCCAGAGTGTGATATTCCGCTTCCTGTGTCCATGTGATCTCATTGTTCAATTCCCACCTATGAGTGAGAATATGCGGTGTTTGGTTTTTTGTTCTTGCGATAGTTTACTGAGAATGATGATTTCCAATTTCATCCATGTCCCTACAAAGGACATGAACTCATCATTTTTTATGGCTGCATAGTATTCCATGGTGTATATGTGCCACATTTTCTTAATCCAGTCTATCATTGTTGGACATTTGGGTTGGTTCCAAGTCTTTGCTATTGTGAATAATGCCACAATAAACATACGTGTGCATGTGTCTTTATAGCAGCATGATTTATAGTCCTTTGGGTATATACCCAGTAATGGGATGGCTGGGTCAAATGGTATTTCTAGTTCTAGATCCCTGAAGAATCACCACACTGACTTCCACAATGGTTGAACTAGTTTACAGTCCCACCAACAGTGTAAAAGTGTTCCTATTTCTCCACATCCTCTCCAGCACCTGTTGTTTCCTGACTTTTTAATGATCGCCATTCTAAGTGGTGTGAGATGGTATCTCATTGTGGTATTGATTTGCATTTCTCTGATGGCCAGTGATGATGAGCATTTTTTCATGTGTTTTTTGGCTGCATAAATGTCTTCTTTTGAGAAGTGTCTGTTCATATCCTTCACCAACTTTTTGATGAGGTTGTTTTTTACTTGTAAATTTGTTTGAGTTCATTGTAGATTCTGGATATTAGCCCTTTGTCAGATGAGTAGGTTGTGAAAATTTTCTCCCATTTTGTAGGTTGCCTGTTCACTCTGATGGTAGTTTCTTTTGCTGTGCAGAAGCTCTTTAGTTTAATTAGATCCCATTTGTCAATTTTGGCTTTTGTTGCCATTGCTTTTGGTGTTTTAGACATGAAGTCCTTGCCCATGCCTATGTCCTGAATGGTAATGCCTAGGTTTTCTTCTAGGGTTTTTATGGTTTTAGGTCTAACGTTTAAGTCTTTAATCCATCTTGTATTGATTTTTGTATAGGGTGTAAGGAAGGGATCCAGTTTCAGCTTTCTACATATGGCTAGCCAGTTCTCCCAGCACCATTTATTAAATAGGGAATCCTTTCCCCATTGCTTGTTTTTCTCAGGTTTGTCAAAGATCAGATGGTTGTAGATATGTGGCATTATTTCTGAGGGCTCTGTTCTGTTCCATTGATCTATATCTCTGTTTTGGTACCAGTACCATGCTGTTTTGGTTACTGTAGCCTTGTAGTATAGTTTGAAGTCAGGTAGTGTAATGCCTCCAGCTTTATTCTTTTGGCTTAGGATTGACTTGGCGACGTGGGCTCTTTTTTGGTTCCATATGAACTTTAAAGTAGTTTTTTACAATTCTGTGAAGAAAGTCATTGGTAGCTTGATGGGGATGGCATTGAATCTGTAAATTACCTTGGGCAGTATGGCCATTTTCACGATATTGATTCTTCTTCCTACCCATGAACATGGAATATTCTTCCATTTGTTTGTATCCTCTTTTATTTCCTTGAGCAGTGGTTTGTAGTTCTCCTTGAAGAGGTCCTTCACATCCCTTGTAAGTTGGATTCCTAGGTATTTTATTCTCTTTGAAGCAATTGTGAATGGGAGTTCACTCATGATTTGGCTCTCTGTTTGTCTGTTGTTGGTGTATAAGAATGCTTGTGATTTTTTACATTGATTTTGTATCCTGAGACTTTGCTGAAGTTGCTTATCAGCTGAAGGAGATTTTGGGCTAAGACAATGGGGTTTTCTAGATATACAATCATGTCGTCTGCAAACAGGGACAATTTGACTTCCTCTTTTCCTAATTGAATACCCTTTATTTCCTTCTCCTGCCTAATTGCCCTGGCCAGAACTTCCAACACTATGTTGAATAGGAGTGGTGAGAGAGGGCATCCCTGTCTTGTGCCAGTTTTCAAAGGGAATGCTTCCAGTTTTTGCCCATTCAGTATGATATTGGCTGTGGGTTTGTCATAGATAGCTCTTATTATTTTGAAATACGTCCCATCAATACCTAATTTATTGAGAGTTTTTAGCATGAAGCGTTGTTGAATTTTGTCAAAGGCTTTTTCTGCATCTATTGAGATAATCATGTGGTTTTTGTCTTTGGCTCTGTTTATATGCTGGATTACAGTTATTGATTTGCGTATATTGAACCAGCCTTGCATCCCAGGGATGAAGCCCACTTGATCATGGTGGATAAGCTTTTTCATGTGCTGCTGGATTCGTTTTCCAGTATTTTATTGAGGATTTTTGCATCAATATTCATCAAGGATATTGGTCTGAAATTCTCTTTTTTTGTTGTGTCTCTGCCTGGCTTTGGTATCAGAATGATGCTGGCCTCATAAAATGAGTTAGGGAGGATTCCCTCTTTTTCTATTGATTGGAATAGTTTCAGAAGGAATGGTACCAGTTCCTCCTTGTACCTCTGGTAGAATTCGGCTGTGAATCCATCTGGTCCTGGACTCTTTTTGGTTGGTAAACTATTGATTATTGCCACAATTTCAGCTCCTGTTATTGGTCTATTAAGAGATTCAACTTCTTCCTGGTTTAGTCTTGGGAGAGTGTATGTGTCCAGGAATTTATCCATTTCTTCTAGATTTTCTAGTTTATTTGCGTAGAGGTGTTTGTAGTATTCTCTGATGGTAGTTTGTATTTCTGTGGGATCGGTGGTGATATCCCCTTTATCATTTTTTACTGCGTCTATTGGATTCTTCTCTCTTTTTTTCTTCTTTATTAGTCTTGCTAGCGGTCTATCAATTTTGTTGATCCTTTCAAAAAGCCAGCTCCTGGATTCATTAATTTTTTGAAGGGTTTTTTGTGTCTCGATTTCCTTCAGTTCTGCTCTGATTTTAGTTATTTCTTGCCTTCTGCTAGCTTTTGAATGTGTTTGCTCTTGCTTTTCTAGTTCTTTTAATTGTGATGTTAGGGTGTCAATTTTGGATCTTTCCTGCTTTCTCTTGTGGGCATTTAGTGCTATAAATTTCCCACTACACACTGCTTTGAATGCGTCCCAGAGATTCTGGTATGTTGTGTCTTTGTTCTCGTTGGTTTCAAAGAACATCTTTATTTCTGCCTTCATTTCGTTATGTACCCAGTAGTCATTCAGGAGCAGGCTGTTCAGTTTCCATGTAGTTGAGCGGTTTTGAGTGAGATTCTTAATCCTGAGTTCTAGTTTGATTGCACTGTGGTCTGAGAGATAGTTTGTTATAATTTCCGTTCTTTTACATTTGCTGAGGAGAGCTTTACTTCCCAGTATGTGGTCAATTTTGGAATAGGTGTGGTGTGGTGCTGAAAAAAATGTATATTCTGTTGCTGTGGGGTGGAGAGTTCTGTAGATGTCTATAAGGTCCACTTGGTGCAGAGCTGAGTTCAATTCCGGGGTATCCTTGTTGACTTTCTGTCTCGTTGATCTGTCTAATGTTGACAGTGGGGTGTTAAAGTCTCCCATTATTAATGTGTGGGAGTCTAAGTCTCTTTGTAGGTCACTCAGGACTTGCTTTATGAATCTTGGTGCTCCTGTATTGGGTGCATATCTATTTAGGATAGTTAGCTCTTCTTCTTGAATTGATCCCTTTACCCTTATGTAATGGCCTTCTTTGTCTCTTTTGATCTTTGTTGGTTTAAAGTCTGTTTTATCAGAGACTAGGATTGCAACTCCTGCCTTTTTTTGTTTTCCATTGGCTTGGTAGATCTTCCTCCATCCTTTTATTTTGAGCCTATGTGTGTCTCTGCACGTGAGATGGGTTTCCTGAATACAGCACACTGATGGGTCTTGACTCTTTATCCAATTTGCCAGTCTGTGTCTTTTAATTGGAGCATTTAGTCCATTTACATTTAAAGTTAATATTGTTATGTGTGAATTTGAGCCTGTCATTATGATGTTAGCTGGTGATTTTGCTCGTTAGTTGATGCAGTTTCTTCCTAGTCTCTATGGTCTTTACATTTTGGCATGATTTTGCAGCGGCTGGTACTGGTTGTTCCTTTCCATGTTTAGTGCTTCCTTCAGGAGCTCTTGTAAGGCAGGCCTGGTGGTGACAAAATCTCTCAGCATTTGCTTGTCTGTAAAGTATTTTATTTCTCCTTCACTTATGAAGTTTAGTTTGGCTGGATATGAAATTCTGGGTTGAAAATTCTTTTCTTTAAGAATGTTGAATATTGGCCCCCACTCTCTTCTGGCTTGTAGGGTTTCTGCTGAGAGATCCACTGTTAGTCTGATGGGCTTCCCTTTGAGGGTAACCCGACCTTTCTCTCTGGCTGCCCTTAACATTTTTTCCTTCATTTCAACTTTGGTGAATCTGACAATTATGTGTCTTTGAGTTGCTCTTCTCGAGGAGTATCTTTGTGGCGTTCTCTGTATTTCCTGAATCTGAATGTTGGCCTGCCTTGCTAGATTGGGGAAGTTCTCCTGGATAATATCCTGCAGAGTGTTTTCCAACTTGGTGCCATTCTCCCCATCACTTTCAGGTACACCAATCAGACGTAGATTTGGTCTTTTCACATAGTCCCATATTTCTTGGAGGCTTTGCTCATTTCTTTTTATTCTTTTTTCTCTAAACTTCCCTTCTTGCTTCATTTCATTCATTTCATCTTCCATCGCTGATACCCTTTCTTCCAGTTGATCGCATCGGCTCCTGAGGCTTCTGCATTCTTCATGTAGTTCTCCAGCCTTGCTTTTCAGCTCCATCAGCTCCTTTAAGCACTTCTCTGTATTGGTTATTCTAGTTATACATTCTTCTAAATTTTTTTCAAAGTTTTCAACTTCTTTGCCTTTGGTTTGAATGTCCTCCCGTAGCTCAGAGTAATTTGATCGTCTGAAGCCTTCTTCTCTCAGCTCGTCAAAGTCATACTCCATCCAGCTTTGTTCCGTTGCTGGTAAGGAACTGCGTTCCTTTGGAGGAGGAGAGGCGCTCTGCTTTTTAGAGTTTCCAGTTTTTCTGTTCTGTTTTTTCCCCATCTTTGTGGTTTTACCTACTTTTGGTCTTTGATGATGGTGATGTACAGATGGGTTTTTGGTGTGGATGTCCTTTCTGTTTGTTAGTTTTCCTTCTAACAGACAGGACCCTCAGCTGCAGGTCTGTTGGAGTACCCTGCCGTGTGAGGTGTCAGTGTGCCCCTGCTGGGGGGTGCCTCCTAGTTAGGCTGCTCGGGGGTCAGGGGTCAGGGACTCACTTGAGGAGGCAGTCTGCCCGTTCTCAGATCTCCAGCTGCGTGCTGGGAGAACCACTGCTCTCTTCAAGCTGTCAGACAGGGACATTTAAGTCTGCAGAGGTCACTGCTGTCTTTTTGTTTGTCTGTGCCCTGCCCCCAGAGGTGGAGCCTACAGAGGCAGGCAGGCCTCCTTGAGCTGTGGTGGGCTCCACCCAGTTGGAGCTTCCTGGCTGCTTTGTTTACTTAATCAAGCCTGGGCAATGGCGGGTGCCCCTCCCCCAGCCTTGCTGCCACCTTGCAGTTTGATCTCAGACTGCTGTGCTAGCAATCAGTGAGATTCCATGGGCGTAGGACCCTCTGAGCCAGGTGCGGGATATAATCTCATGGTGCGCCGTTTTTTAAGCCCGTCGCAAAAGCGCAGTATTCGGGTGGGAGTGACTCGATTTTCCAGGTGCCATCCCTCACCACTTTCTTTGACTCAGAAAGGGAACTCCCTGACCCCTTGCGCTTCCCAAGTGAGTCAATGCCTCATCCTGCTTCAGCTCGCACACGGTGCACGCACCCACTGACCTGCGCCCACTGTCTGGCACTCCCTAGTGAGATGAACCCGGTACCTCAGATGGAAATGCAGAAATCACCCGTCTTCTGCGTCGCTCACGCTGAGAGCTGTAGACCGGAGCTGTTCCTATTCGGCCATCTTGGCTCCTCCCCCGTCTTGATCTCTTGACCTGGTGATCCACCCACCTCGGCCTCCCAAAGTGCTAGGATTACAGGCGTGAGCCACCACGCCCAGCCATAAATTACATTCTTGTCTTTACCATAGCTACCCAAGACAAATTTTTTTATCACAGTGTATTACACCTTGCTTTTATTACTTCTGATTAGATTACATTAATTTCCCTTGAATCTATATAGTAACTAGTATATTTTCATGTTGTTATAATATGTTAGCAGAATGATGTATCATAATGATTCATATGATATTGATGTTTTGCATTGTTTATTTACCATTTATAGGTAACACTGTGGTAAATATCCTAATACATAGTGTTTCATGTGTCTGGATTTCTCCCTTAGGTTAAACTGGAAGAAACAAAGATAAAAGCTTTGCATATTTCTATGATTATGTTACACATCTTTTATTTTATATTTTAAGTTTTTTATCAAACTTATTGTACCAAGTGTTAGAGTCTTATCAGAAATTTTTCTAGGGTCATTCATTCTTGCATGTATTCAGCACATTTATTTGATGATTCATTCCACTCTCATTAATAGCCCCATCACATTTTAAACTAGATTCACATTTTTAAACTAGATTACTTTTAGGTTGTGAAGGGTATATTGCAATAGTTTTGTCTTTTTCAATACTGGCAAGTTTTGAGTACTTTTTTCAAATATCATTTCAACTTTGTGCAAATATACTTGATAAATTCACTATCTCTTTATCTCTGTTTATCTACCTATCTAATTGCTAGAAATAATTTTGCATATATTGGTAGCAATATTTCAATTTTATGTGCAGAATTTCTAAAAGTGTCTAAATTACAACTCAGGAAAAAATGGCAATTTTTAAAAAGCCACCAAATGAGATAAAGTAGGTGAAATTATTTGCAAAATATAAAGGGAAGTTGATGTATTGTTATTCATATTTATCTTCTGATGATCTTCACAAAATTAGTTGAAGTTTAAGGAATTTAATTGTATGTACTGTAATAAAAATAGAAGCCTATAGCTTAAAGTGATTAAGTTACAGATCCAAGAACCTGAAGAAGAATAATTAAGCTAATGAATCTAATCCCATAACGGCATTCATTAACTAATATCCTATTGGAACAAAAAAAGCATTTGCAGTAGAGTATAAAAGTAAGCCCTAAAAAAGCATAGGGAATTAGTATTAAATATGCAGCAGCTTTCTAATTATTAGAAAGGACAAACTGCTTTGAGCTTGAAAAACCCACATTCTTGGATAGTTGGGTAACCAAGGTGGTACTAGAAATTGACAATGTGCATTTACTGAGCAGTACGTTTTGAGCAGTTATATCTCTAAGCTTTATTTCTCAGTGTGTTTGTTTGTTTGTTTCGTTTTGTTTTTTTGAGAGGGAGTCTCCCTCTGTTCCCTAGGCTGGAGTGCAGTGGTGCCATCTAGGCTCACTGCAACTTCTGCCTCCCGAGTTCAAGAAATTCTGCCTCAGCTTTCTGAGTAGCTAGGACTACAGGCACATGCCACCACACCTAGATTTTTTTTTTTTTTTTTTTGTATTTTTAGTAGGGATGAGGTTTCACCATGTTGCCAAGGCTTCTCTCAACCTCCTGACTTCAAATGGTCCTCCCATCTTGGCCTCTCAAAGTTATTTCTCAGTTTTTGAAAATCATTCTCAAATCTATAATATCCTCTCCTATCCAAAATATATGTCAGAATGAACGTAGCAGATTTTAGAATGTAAGCTTTTCCCAAGAATATTAACCAGACCCATAGTAGGCATTTTATAAAATTTGCTATCTAATTAATAACGTACTCTGAGCATGAAACTTGGCCATGCTTCAAATTAAGTAATTTAAAGGCAGAATATTGGGATTTCAATTACAATTTTGTCATTTGTGAGCTGACTTTAACACCAGTTCGCTTTAGTTAATTCTAGTTTAGCAACAACAATAGAAGAGCTATTGGGCATCTGCTGTGTTCAGGACGTTGCTGGGACATTGCTTGGGGTGAAATTTAAGGATATTACCATGTAGGTAAACATTTTGAACAGCAATGTGGTGAGTATGAGGATAAGAGAAGAGTTTCGATTTTCACAACCAGAGGGAATTCAAGCAAGCTTCCTGAAAAGGTGATTTCCAATATGAATGGAAGAGATAAACTGGAGCCGGGCGTGGTGGCTCATGCCTGTAATCCCAGCAGTTTGGGAGGCCAAGGCGGGCAGATCACAAGTTCAGGAGATCGAGACCATCCTGGCTAACACGGTGAAACCTCATCTCTATAAAAATACAAAAAATTAGCCAGGCGTGGTGGTGGGTGCCTGTAGTCCCAGCTATTCGAGAGGCTGAGGCAGGAGAATGGCGTGAACCCGGGAGATGGAGCTTGCAGTGAGCCAAGATCGTAGCACTGCACTCCAGCCTGGGTGACAGAGCGAGACCCCGTCTCAAAAAAAAAAAAAAAAAAAGATAAACTGGGAGTTAGATAAATAAATAATAGAAAGTAGAAGGATATCTAAGTAGAGAGATATATGCAAACCATAGAAATACAAAATTCAATTTTAGGTTCTTTTTTGCTTTTTTTTTTTTTTTTTTTTGAGACAGGGTCTCACTCCTGTCTTCCAGGCTGGAGTTCAGCAGTGTAATCTCGGCTCACTGCAGCCGCAACTTCCCAAGCTCAGGTGATCCTCCCACCTCAGCCTCCCACCTCAGCCCTATCCTTAACTGGGACTACAGGTGTGCACCACCAAGCCTGACTAATTTTTTGTATTTTTAGTAGAGACAGGGTCTTGCTATGTTGCCCAGGCTGGTCTTAAACTTCTGGGCTCAAGCTATCCTGCTGCCTCAGCCTCCCAAAGTGCCTGGGATTACAGGCATGAGCTGCCATTTGGCTGATCATAGATTTAATGCAGAAAATGGAAAGTCAGTTGATATAAGTGAAGTGTAGAGCAGAGAAGATTGTCTGAAGATGATGAAGAGGAATTCAGGGGTCTGTTGAAAGTAATTCAGGCTTTTTTTCCCACACTTTAGAAAGACTTTGTTGAATTGTAGGCTGGAGAGTGGTATGCAAAGTGGTTTGTTTAGATGGATTGCTCTGGTATTTGTGCTTTTACAAATACAAAAATTGAAGATATAAATAATACTTGAGATATTGGATTAGTAGCTTGCTAAAAACGTAAGATATCCTTAAGCTTGGGTAACAGTAGTAGATATTAAAAAACTGGAGTGTTCTGGGAAATATATAGGAACTAAACAAGAGACCGCCATAGCTTACGACTGCTATGAAGTGATAATTAGGAATGGAAAGCATCCCCTGGTTTCCAGCCTGTGGTCTGAATGGACAGTGATGTCAACCCCATGCAGGGAAGTACTGATGGAGGAGTCCATGTGATGTTTGGAAGAAGAATATAGTAATCTGATTCAGATGTGTTAGGGTTTAAAAAGTCTAAAGAATATTCTAGTGGATATATTATCTTTAAAATTAGGAGATATAGATATACACACACACATACACATGTATATATATAAAATAATTGCAACTGTCATTTTATTAGACATTGTGGTCAAATACCTTTCTAATTATTTTTCACCCACACCCATGTATTTTATCTTTGTGAAGCCACAGTGACTCTGGGCTAGGACTTGTGATTTGTTTTGGCCAGTGGGATGTAGTAGACATCACACAATCAGAGGCTTGAAAAAAATCAATGTGCATGTTTTTATTTGTAGTCCTTGCCTCTATCATCACCATGGGGAAGGACAAACCTACAATAATGGGATGCTCCCAGCAGGAGTCCCATGGAAGAGCCAAGCTCCCCCTAATGTCTCAGCCAAGGGCCATCTCAGATCAACTAAAAGGCAGGTGATGTTAAGATATCTGGATGAAGCCAGGCAAGATCAGCAAGCTATCTAGCTCACCACCTCAGAGTATTAGCAATAAACACTTATTTTTATATGCGACTGAGGTTTTGTGGTTGTTTGCAGCACCACAAAAGTTGTGTTGTAGGAAATGTTAATTATTATTATTCTCCTTATGGTTTTTGTTTTTCCAGTTTACTGCTTGAAATTGAAAAAGAGTAACAGATTGGTGTGAAATCTATAGAGTCTCAAGACATACTATAGTAGAATGTGATAATCTGTACTGTTTAAAATAAATCCCTACCTGCCTATATCATTTAGCATTCCTGCAGAAAATAAATGACACATTTAAAAGGACAGTTTAAACAAAAGATAACAATATTTGAAAAAAATATAGACAGGTTTGAAGGAACCAACAAGGAAAAGTGAGGCACATGAAATAGTAATAGCAGGAAGCTGTTAGCACCCCTGGACCTGAAGGTCAAAGAGGTGGAGCTGTTGCAGAAATAGGACCAATAGCCAACTGGAGGAACTGAGGACTTCAGGTGGGCCAAACTGTGATCCGATCCAGTTGGACAAAGATGGTGCATTTCTGAATTATTTATTCTCTGCTCTCATCGGGAAGATATGATGTAGAATTTGATTAGGGCATAGGAGGCAAACATTACATGGGGGAAGGTGGCTAACAAAAATGTCTAGCAAAGTCCACAACCTCTTTCCTCTGTATCTACTTTTGCCTTTTGTCTACATGAATAATCTGAAGTCTTAACACAAGCCCCCCCATTTGATTATGGAATGATATTAATTCAGTGACATCACCACCTAAACATGTTAGCCCTTACCAGTGCTCTTCATAAAAGATGGCAATCAAAACTGAGGACAAAAGAAATAAATGACATACAACATACAACATACAACTTTTAACTTGTGCATTTACAAGTAATTAGATATCAATAAAATCAGCAATCAGTTATAGAACATTTACCATTTTGCATATAATAATATAGAAAACAAGAAATGTTTCTATTTTATCAAGTTCCTCAGTTTGAATACTGCATCCAAGGCCCACAGGTATTAAGAGATGCTCTCAGCTGTGTCTCTCAGTAATATTATATCTATCTATCTATCTATCTATCTTTCACATATATAAATAACACATGCATCTTGTGTGTCTATGTGCATGTATGTATATATGTTTCTTATATATGTTATATATATATATTTCTTGTATATGTGGGATGTGTGTGTGTAAGCAAGAAATCTACAAAAACCAAATATATAGAAATATTCTTACAGGTTGAAATTATTTTATTTATCTCTATGTATTATTTAAATATAAAACAGAGAAGTACAAATAAAAATATTTTACTTGCATTTCAATAAGTTTAAATTCTTGGATGCAAGAAAAGCATACAAACCTTGAAATAAAACAATAAAGAAAATTATATTATTGATCTGTTTGAATAATTTTTAAATAAGAATTTTATTGTCTTCTCAGTTTTAACTTGTCTTGAAGACTTTGTAAAAAATGAATCTTCCTGTTTTACATAATAATAAAACTTAAAAGTTAGGATGGCTTTCATCTTCAAAACCTTTTATAAATGGCTACAAATATTGTTTTAGCATTAATTTAATCTGTGAAAGTACCCACTAGAGAACACCCATTATTCCTGATTTATGTCAATTTTATTAGCTCCAGTTACAAGAACACACATATAACAATCTTTTAAACCAGCTTTTCTAACCCCTGTAAACTGTAAGTACAATCTCAATTTATCTGTTGGTATAAACTTGATATCTACTCTACTCTGGAAGTCTTAATTTAATGAGCTATAAGAAACCACAGGTGATGAGAAAGTGTTTCATGACAAAGAGTTCATCGGATATCTGGACTTGTTGAGAGAGCTGTGCCTATAAGCAATATAGATTTTTCATTCAGGGGACTGAACCATTTTCAGTTAGAGATTAGTATATCAGCCAAATAGAAATATTCATATAACATGCCAATATTTTTTTCTGACTACTCTTTCATTTTGCTTTCCTTCCCCCAGCAAACAATAACACATTAAGACCTGGAGCAATAACTCTTAGGAGAGGTCCTTCTCTGCCTATTAATTCTCCCGCAGGTCTTCTTGCAAAGGGACATTAAGATTTCAAGTTCGGACTTCACACTGCCTACATTCAAATGTGGGATCCTGAATTATAGTGATGCGATTTGAGCTTGGCTCAGTAACCTCTCTGTACCTGTGTTCTCATTTAAAAGGATGCCTAGTAACCTTGCTTTACACTTAATATTACTCAAATGGAGAAAGAATTTATCCAACACTTAGAAATTCCTAGGCCCGCCCTCAATCAATGTTTGCTCTTAATAATTATTATTAGAATTATTAGGGTTATTTTTGTAAGTGTTAGGTTTCTTTTCTTTTTTTTTTTTTTTTTTTTTTTTTTTTTGAGACGGAGTCTCACTCTGTCACCCAGGCTGGAATGCCCTGGGGTGATCTCGGCTCACTGCAACCTCCACCTCCTGGGTTCAGGTGATTCTCCTGCCTCAGCCTCCCAAGTAGCTGAGATTACAGGTGCCTTCCACCACTCCTGGCTAATTTTTGTATTTTTTTTTTAGTAGAGACAGGGTTTCACCATGTTGGCCAGGTTGGTTTTGAACTCCTGACCTCAAATGATCCTCCCACTTCGGACTCCCAAGGTGCTGGGATTACAGGCGTGAGCCACCATACCCAGCCAAGTGTTATCTTTCTAAATATAAACCTGACACTTAATGGCAATTCAATAAATATTCATGGAATAAATGAATGAAAAGTTAAATAATAAGGACTCACACAGCATGTATATAAAGCCCTCTGCTATCTCTCTGTTGTCTACCAAATAATGTCTATATTCTAATTAGCAAGGGCAGTCTGGCATGGGCTCCACATCCACATATCTGACCCCTTTCAGCTGCCCTCTACCAGGTACACCCTATGCTTTGCCTAGGGAGCCTGTCCAGCGCTATCCTAACATGAGCTCCTCTAATGTTTTCTTCCTTCACACTGCAAACTGCTTCTCATCCTTTTAGAATCAGCTCAGTTATGCCCCACTGGAAAAGTCTTTCCTCATTTCTCGTGGTGATGGTATTTATCTCCTCCTCAAGGCCTGGGAGATGCTACCTATTGTTGTTGTTACATCCCATATTGTCTGCCTGGTATGGTTTCCCAGTCAACCCAACCCTTCTTGACAATGACTATTTTCGAACTCTGCGATCCTGTTACCCTTCGACCACCAATGCTCCATCATGTTTCTTGTATTTTCACCAGATAATCTTGACACATACTTCACAGTCAAAATAGTCTCCAACAGAAAAGAACTTCTATCTTTTCTCCACCAAATCTGTAACTTATGGACATTTCTTCCATCCCCTTGATCTAGCTAACTTTTCTCTCAGATCCTATTACATGCTAAGTGAATGATTCAGAAGACTATACCTTTGACCCCAGTGCTCAAAGCCCATAAATACTTTTTTCATTTTACTTAAAGTAAATGTGTCACCGATCATGTTGGTGAGATTACATTAGAGCAAGCCATATTTTCCTTAGCTGACTGTGGCCTGGTCAGTCCCACTAGTGGAAGAGGGTGATGTATAATTGCAGTCAGAATGGGTTTGAAAGAACAAGGAAAAGAAAAATAATAAAATACATAATTGTGTTGATATATATTTGGAAGACCTTGGGAAACTAAACTTGCCTGCCATATTTTGTACTGGTCAAGTGTGAGGTACCATTTGAAAACAAACTTACAAGTTTGCATGACTTACTGTGTCTCATCTCTGTTACTTGTTGTCAGCAGTGAACATTTTTGCAAACATTATCCATTTAACCCTTATGAGAAGCTTATGAGTTAGCCTATAATTCATCTCAATTTTACAGATTTTATAAAATGAAGCTCACAGAATGAAACGTCTACCATATGGGGAAGCCTGGTCTAGAATCCATGCATACTGAAACCAGGGTACAGTTCCTTAAACACCAAATTGTTATTTGATGTTGGAAAATTTTAATTGTGTCAAAACGACTTAGGCATAGGGCATGTGTTTGTTAATAGAATCCTTTTAAGCCAGTATAAGTAAATGGAGATGATATAGCAAGGATATAGGGGGATCTCATTAATACCCAGAGCAGGAAGTGCTTCAAAGCTTCAGGAAGGGTTTGAACTGGGGACTGAATTGTTATCAGGAAGCAATCGACTCCTCTCAGCATCCCTGTCTCTGCCTCTGCATCTCTGAGTCTCTCTCGTGCTCTCTTTTCCTGAAGTAGCTGGGATTCTAAACATCACCCCAAAGATTTCAATCCCTTGGTTATTTAATTAAACATGAACTTAAGTATTGCTATAAAAGCATTTATATAATTAAGATCAGGGGCCATAAAATGGCATTATCCTGGATATCGGATGGCCCCAGTCTAATCACATGAGCTCATAAGAGCAGAGGAGGATTTCTTTCTGGACCTAATAGGAGAGATTCAGCTACAGGAGAGAGCAAGGAACAGAAGAGGCAGAAGGGGAAGTGAGAAAGATGTGAATCATGAGAAACGTTCGACCCACCGTTCCTGACTTTGAATAAGAAGGAAAAAAGCCACAGTTCAAGGAAAGTAATTAGCTTTTAAAAGCTGAGAGGGATCCCTGGTTAATAGCCAGCAGCCAACAGGGGCTCCAGTCCTGCAATCACATGGAATTGAATTCTGCCAACCACTTGAATGAGCTTGGACACGGATGCTTCCCAGAGCCTCCAAAAAGGAGTGCAGCCCTGCCAGCACCTGGATGTTAGCCCAGTGAGACCCATGTCAGCCTCCTGACCCACAGCACTGGGAATTGTAATTGTATGCTTTTCTAAACCACCTAATTTGTGGTAATTTGCAACAGCAGCAATAGAAAACTAACACATTTGTATACTTTTAACTATGCATCTCCCATATTTGTGCATTTTATACTTTTTTCTCTACATACAGGTTCCCTCATCTTTTTTGTGTATTCCATTCTGGCAGCCTCTGACTTTGCCTGCAGTCCTGAGTCACATGAGCCTTTCATCTAGTCTGGAACCTATGATTAATTAAACCCATCTCCACATTTCACTTCCAAATTTCTAAGTGAGGGAAAATCAAATTTTGCCAACCCAATCACTGGGTTAAATCCCCCTGGTCAAGACACCGATTCCCACTCGGTCACATGGAAAAGACTCATGGAGAATGTTGACAGCTCATTCCAGGACTTGGAAGGCCAGGTTCCTGAAGTGGGTCAAAGTGAAGAGGATAAGATGTCAGGGAGGGAAGGAAGAAGCCTATCTGTAGTAGAGATATTTAGAAGACGTAAACTGCATGGGATAAATTCAAACTGATGACAATGTAGAACAGATTAAGATGCTGAGAAAAGGACATGTGGCAAGGAATAGGACTGTAATTTTTTTTACTAAATAACAGTTAGGTTTACATCTATTTTCTAAATCCAGGGAGGACTAAAATCAACACGAGACCCTCATTAATGCATATATAGGGGTTAATTATGAGTCTTTTGTGTAAGTAAGTGAGCTTGTGCTAAATGTATACAAGTATGTATTGATCACTTTATTTTGCTGTTCATCAACTTTTTCCCCATTTTTTCAACCCTATAGGCTCAGCAAAATAAAATGGCAAGAGGCACAATGAAAAGCACAACCAGCTGAGATTAAGTTCTGCAAAGATTAGTTCTGGCACAGGTTTTATTTAATGTTGTAGAATAGTGACCTGGGGAAATAAAAATGCATCCATTTGAGAAACTATTGACCAAACAAGAATAGAAATGCAACAAAATTCAAAGTGCAAAAGTGGATCTGGAAAATTGCATTCTGTGCAACTCAAGTAAACACTGACTTCATAAATCCAAATGTCCACCTCTGTTATGTAAAGCTTCCCCTTCAGTGCAGTTAGGGTGCTTGGCAATGCACGAGGTCAGTATGACTTATGCTGGATAGGCAAACACTGAGCAGACATTTATGAATCCAATTTTTTATTTTTTGACTCTTCACCATCTATTGAAAACCCACATTTTGAGGCTCACTTTCTGTGAAACTTTCTTGGCATTCTTGGACATAGTCCTCTTAGAAGGGTGCATGTTTTAGTGAAGAAAAGCACCCAAGAAGGAGAGTGGCTTAAACTGAAGAACAGTTGGATAACTTTTCATCAATGCATTTGCCATCAAATATAAGCATCAGTGTAACCATGAAAGACATAAGGTATTATAGAACCTAATTTTTAAAACTCAATTAACTCAACAAATAGTTACTTGTTATCGATTACATGTCAAGAGCTGTTCTGAATGTTGGTGATACATGAGTGTGTAACTAAAATTAAGTTTTTGTCCTTGTGGAACCTTGAACTGTCAGATAAAGAAATTGAAGTCCAGATAGCAGCTTGTCTAAAGCTACATGTTGTATTGAGATGGGGCTATAGAGTTGAGCTTCTGTCTCCATATTCCTACTTCAACTGTGTTTGAAAGCAGATGGAATATACAACATAAATAACAACATAGAATGGAGCTCTTGTTGCATTACACTAAGGTACTACTTCTCTGTCATTTTTCTTCAGGAAAGAATTTGGCCACCTAAAAATAGTTTTTACCACTTTTAATAATATGGAAATTAAATTGAATTGAATTGTATAATAAAGAGCAAGCAGTTACTATTTTTAATTTAAAAAATAAAACTAGGTCAATAGATTTAACCACATGTGAGCTTGAGACCCATAAGGACAAATACCTACTGAACAACTGCACCTGGAAGTTACAGTTGATATTTTCAAGACTGAACTCATTACCTCTCTGAACATAGATGACTCTCATATTTAGCATTTTGTTGAATAGCACCCTTCTCTTTCAAGCAGTGCCAGTCAAGAACCATGAGAATCATCCTGGATGTCTCCATCTGTTTGATCATTCTCCCTCAAGCCCTACCACACTGGCCCACGCAATGAATGAACTTCTAAGTTAATTTCATTTTATCTCTTGTGATGAATTATATTTTTGTTCTCAAACATTCCCTCCCCTTAAATGATTATATATCTCCATTCCTAGGGGGCTTGGCCATAAGAGTTGCTTTATCCAAAGGTGTATGAAAGGGTATGATATATGCTACATCGGTGCAAAAGCCTTAGTGTCATTGAATATTGGGGCCATTTTCTTTCCTTTCCTCTGTGCTATAATAATAGATGTTCTATATAGGGCTGTTCCTTCCGTTTAAGCCAAAGCATGAGAAGAGACATGAGCAAAGTCCCAATGACCTAGAGAAACCAAAGTGAGTGAGAAATAAGCCATCTTTGTAAGGCACTGAAAATTGGAGTGGTTTGTTACTGA
Source organism: Homo sapiens (assembly GCF_000001405.40). Lineage (NCBI taxonomy): Eukaryota > Metazoa > Chordata > Mammalia > Primates > Hominidae > Homo > Homo sapiens. The sequence goes on from NC_000008.11 coordinate 137,575,823, forward strand.
ACTATCTCCTAGAAGCAAATGACTATAACCTCCTAACCTTTCTTATAACTGACGTCTTCCCTCCAGTCTCACTGTCACATCTTCACTCAGTCTGTCATCATTTCTTCCTGGAACCCTGGAATATCATTAAGACTATTCACCTTTCTACCTTCATTCACCTCCCACTTGCAATCAATTCTCAATATGGAAAAAAATAGTGATGTTTCTAATTATAAATCTATTTATTTGAAGTTATTTAAGATCTCCCAATCATTATTGTGGCAAAGTCCAACTCCTTCTCATTCAACAGATATGTCTTCCTAATCTCTTATGTAATTACTTTACCATCCTGATCACTGGGTATTTTAATGTTGAGATTCTAAATGCAGCCACATTGAAGAGTGTAAAGTTATGCAAAGACAGCTTAGGCATTCATGTACCTTCACGTATGTCAATTTTTTTCTGAAACATCTTTTATATCTTCAGCCACATAGTAAATTCTGATTCATCCCTTAAGAATGATCTCAACAACACGTGTCTTTCCTTATGTGTCCCCTTCTCTGTTCCTATAGTACTCTGTATATATGAGTGTTATCACATGAATTACACTTTGTACTGAGTGCTGTTTTAATTTTCTGTCTTCTCCTCTGAACGATGAGAAATTTGAGGAGAGGTGCATGTCTTACTAATTTGCACATTCCAAATGGCAAGCATAGAGCTTGGAACACAGCAGATAATAAATGTTTGATGAAATGAATTTATTAAGTTATGAAAATATACTACATTGAAGCACTTGAGGACTTATCTATGTTTTGTTTATGTCTAAAATTTACCAAACCGCAAAATTTAGTGTTTGGGGCTTTCTGCCAATATTTCAATATTTAACACAATCTGTATTTTTGAACAGAAATAATTAGTTGGTTTATCTGTGTTCGCAATGAAAAGTGTTTTCTGTTCCTCATGAGCAGAACTTCATTGCCACCCTTGCCCCATAAGTGTAAGCTGGAAGGGTTTTTGTTTCCTTGTTGGTTTTCCAGGCGTGTTGTTCATCCTCCTACAGGCCTTGGAAAGATTTGCATGCCAACACTGACTTGCCTCTTCACCAGGCATCTTGATGCCACTGGATAATTTTAGTGAAAATAAATATTCCAGTCTCACTGAAATAAGTATTAACATAACAGTGTGGTACCATGTGTCAACTGCAAACTAGCCAAAACAAAAATCAATGTTTGTAATGAGCAAAGGTTGAAATGACTGCTCTCATGCACTACTGGTAGACATATAAAATATCAAATACCTTCTAGCCTGCAATTTCACAATACTCATCAGCAGCCTCAAAATAAACTTAGTTTCATCTGTATTAAGGAATATTTCTTTAAAAAGATCAAGTATGATTTTGATGGTCTCCCAATTTTCTGAGAACTGTCACTCAATTTTCCCTCTGTACTTATTAATGAAGATATTTATTTATGATGGTAGTATTAGTAATTTTGAAAATGTTGAAGGTGTTTAAATTTCTCTACTTCAGAAATTAGTTCAATAAATAATAGTATGGCCCAAGATTGCGTGCTGTGCATCTATTTTCATGGTGTATCAAAGAATGTTTAATGCTATGTTAAAGCACTCTTGATGATAATGTTAAGTAAAACTGTGAGATGTGCAGCCTTATAGAAAATGCAGTCCCAATTATATAAATATCCATTAATCCAATAAAGGTGTTTTAAGAACCTGCTATATGTGCCAGGCATTATGTTAGAAATCAGAGATAGAACTGGAGAAGGGAGTTAGGGGCAAAAAACAAAAACAAACAAAATATCCCACGTCCTTAAAGAGAACGCCTAGAAAGAGTGACTTTCTCTGAATATGAGGTCATCATTGATTTATAGTTTGCCTTCCTTATTTGTTTATTTGCCAGACTTGTAGAGTAAACATATAGTACTTTTATCATGATTTATTAAGAAGAAAAATTATCACAATTATTCATCTCTATCAGCCAGGTCTAATTCAGCCAAAAAAAAACCCTGAAATCATAATTTGTAACTAGTTCATCCTGAAAACCTCAGCAGGCAGCAAAGTAATGTACAATCAGATTAACTACACTGTGGTTCTCACACCCACTGTGGACATTATTTAATGCTTCTGTGGACAGAGTCCGGTAGGAACCCCTTTCCCAGGACAAATTACAGAGTGAAGAAAAGACGTGCATGCTGACCCTTCCAGTGTGCCTTCTCCTAGTATTTTCATCCTTGATTTTAAAATATTCTGAAAACAAATTTTGGACATGGATGTTGTCTTCACTGCACAGATACAGAAAAGGAGACTCTGAGAGTTAAGTTGCTTCCCAAGGTCACACAGTGTGTGAAACCAGATCTTCCTAATACCGAAATGTATTCTTTCAACTGCATTGCATCGTTCTTTCTTTCTTTCTTTCCTTCCCTCCTTCCCTCCATTCCTCCTTTCGTTACTTTCTTCTTCTTTTATTTCTTCCTTCCTTCCTTTCCCTCTCTGTGTGCTAGGCACTCTTTTCCTCTTTTCACTAGGCATATAATAAAGTTCTCAAGTATTCTGTGAGGCATTGCCCCCCACTTGTAGATTTCTAGAAACAAATCCCTTGGCAGAAGTGATGGAAAAAATAAGAAATAAAACGTGTAACTAAACGAACAAGGAAAACCATACATTTCTCCAGCCTGAAAACACTGAAATGGACTAGAACCAAATTCATATTAGAAAGAAAAGGTGATACATGGGTGAGTTTGGGGATACAGATGGAACAGAAGCCAGCCAAATAAATATTTTTGATTCCTCTATTTGTATATGTTAAAATATAATGACCAAGTTGGACAAGCTGTATAAACTCTCTCAGTTAACGTGTTCTTACCTTTAAAATATCTACCCATAGGTTTGTGCAAAGATCAATGAAGGTTACTCACCTGAGGTACTCAACGTCATATATAGCAAATTCAATAAGTGAAGCCCTCCCTACCCTATCCTCAGATATTACCTGCCAGCCATTAAAAGTCCCTGAATTAAAATGTTTATACTCTTGGAAGACAGATTACTATACAATCAAGTTATTACAAGGCAGCACCATTGACCTTTACTCATTCATTCAACAAATATGTAGAACTTGCTCTGAGTCATGCCTTATTTTAGGTGCTAGAAGTACAGTGTTGAGCAAAATAGCTAAAATTAGAAGTGCAGATGAGTGGTTAGGAAAACACTGCAGAGGCAATGATTTGTTCTGCCTAAAGGCGGAATGTAAAGAAAGATTCAGAGAAAGTGCCATTTAAGGCAACCGAAGAACTGAGGAACTTTGATGAGGCAATGCATTCGCTGCAGTCCTCCTTGCCTGAAGCTGTCTAAGTGCTTGCTTACTCCAGTGTGGTTTAATATAGTATTCACAAGCAAAGGACCATTTGGAGACCTTCAAATAGCCCCTCACCATGACCCCATGTAGCTTAAGAGTTGACAATTTTATGGAAATCTGTTCTCATGATTGTATGTTTTTCCTATTTGCAGGTGCCATTGCTTGGCTTTTCCATTCAGGTTTTAGCTTGCCCTTCTTTGCTCCAAGGGCAAAAGATCCAACTAATGGATGTAATTAGAAAGAGACTTTTTTTTTCTCACAAATTAAGAAACTATCAAGAACACTCAAAAATAGAATGGGTGATCCGGAAAGGCAGGGAGGGTTTTGTCCCAAACATATTCCCCTGAGGAAGAGTAGATAGCTGTCAATGATATGCCATTGACACCTATGTCAAATAGAACGGGGCCTCCCTCTGCTTCATTTTACTGTCAGTAAAATGGAGACAAAATAAAAAACCACCTACATCACAGGGTTATTGTAAAGATCGCAGGTAAACAATGACTTGCACATAAATAAAAACCTCAATAAACATTTAACTCATAATAATAATAGTAATAGATGGATTAGTTGTAGCAATGCTACATCATGACAATTAGAACTAGTATTATTAATATTATAGTTCTTCTCAAAACGCTGGATTAAGGTTGTAATTATTCCTTTGCAATTTGCCTTTCTGATTTTTCTTTTCCCCCTCATTTGCTTCTAATAAATATCAAATCAGTATTTTCTATATAATGGCACAGTTTGGGGCACTTTGGATAACATATAGTTAGATCAGGGAATAATCACGTGCTTAAGATATTGTAGGACTGTCCCCTTAGTTCAGCTAAAAGCCAGGCTCTTGTCACATGGCCATGAGAGATTAGGCTTGCAGACACTTTGAAGGGTGAGAAAAATGGAATGTATTGGGCAAAAAGGAAAAAAAGGGAAACAGGGACTCTCAGCAAACCTAGAGTCCTGCTAGCCAGTTTCCCGCCTCACAAATTGAATTCCAGTACAGGAGAGGACAGGCTCCTCCTGGCTGCAAAGGGCTCGAACACCTGTGGCTCCATCCTGTTCTTCCAGTGCGCAGGCCAGGTGGAGTTTCTCCAGGGACCCCTTTATACTTGGCTGTTTCAAAGAGATGTCTGTGGGACAAACTCTAGAACTGGGGAGTCCATTAGGAAGACATCAGTCGCATCAGTCTTTGTATATTTGAAATAATTAGAATTAAATGACATCAAAACTCAGTCTTTTGTTCATAGGAGCTACGGGTGGTCAGTGGCTAGCAAATTGGAAAGTGCAGACATGGAACATTTACGTGATGGCAGAAAGTTCTGTTGAACAGTGTTCTTCTAGAAGAGCTTGGATGTGCACACACATAAAAATGAGAAACCAACAATCACAAGGATTTGGGGACCTTCCCTCTGTGGCCACCCTGGCCCCTTGCTTCACCACCTCAGAAAAATCATGTTTCTTTTGCCGCAGGGCCTTTTGCCCTTTCTGAAAACTCCTAAAATGCACCTGCTGCCCTCAGTACACACCTAACACCCGTAATCTTTCTCTAAACACACACAAGCTTACATCTTTATCTGCCAGTCATTCTCTCTTGTTTCAGACTTTAGCTCAATGATGGCTTCCTCAATTAGCCTCTCCCACTCTGACTTACCCACCTGCCATTTCTCCCTGTTACATACCCACATTCCATTATCGCCTCCTCTTTGCAACACGTTATATGAGTGTGACTTTACATTTATTTATGAAATTACTTTATTAAAATCTGACCCTCCTAACATACTGAAATCTTCACGAAAGCAAATATTATGCCTGGTTTCGCTCACCATTTTATTTCTGTACCTGACATAGTGCCTGGTCCATAGTAGGGTCACAGTAAACATTTAGTAAATGAATAAACAAACCAGAGTTGAAGAGATCACTTTTTTCTAGTGGACCTCAGCAGGCCTCAGGGAGAAACGGATGCTTTAGCTACACTGTGGTAAATCTAGGTTCTAATAGCTTATCAAGATAGGCATAACCCTTGTTAGGCAGAGAGATGAGATAATTTCTAGTTACTGAAATATGGCTGGATGGGATAACCATTGACCCACAGCAGGGAGAGAAGACCAGCAGGTTTTTCTTCCCAAAGGCTGTATTATTTATGCAACGAGCATGCTGAATTACATCACTTCAACACAACTTAGAAATACAGGAGGAGTGCTTTCATTATAGACGTACTAAAAGTAGAGTCAGCCTTCTGTTTAAAGCTTTCTGTTCCAGGCACATCACTCTTCACTTATTCTCTGCTATACCCTTTCTGCTAATAGTTAACGAACAACCACCGCTTTCTTACTCTGTTTCACTCTGCAAATGTTGAGATAATAAATGGCCAAGGCTTAGTGAGCATTTTACCCAGTGTCAGACACTAAATGCTTTACTTGTATCATCCCATCTAATCCTAAAAGCAACCCTATGGGAGAGCTACTATTATTATTTTAAGTGAGATTTTAAGATAAGAACTTGATGAAAAAGTAAGTTTAATAGTTTACCCAATGTGGATGCCCCAGCCAATGGTAAATGGGACTACTAGCTGACCTAGACTGTTGCAACTCTTAGGTCGATTATTGTAATACTATATGATAACAATGGCAAGGTATTCTAACTGCTGGGAGGAAACGTGGTGAAGTCAGCCTGCCGAAAAGACCTTGGAAGAATGAGAGTAATTGTTATGCTTTGCTGATAGAGCTGGGTTTTTATTTTACTGCAATTAGCGCCCCCACCTAAAAACACACATCTGACATGATGTGTCATGTGTGCTGTACATGATGTGTCATGTGTGCTGTACATGATGTGTACATGATGTGCTGTAATCTCAGCACTTTTGGAGGCCAAGGTGGGTGGATTACACGAGGTCAGGAGTTCAAAACCAGCCTGGCCAACATGGCAAAACCCCATCTCTACTAAAAATATAAAAATTACCAAGGCATGGTGGCACCTGCCTGTAATCCCAGTTAATCAGGAGGCTGAGGCAGGAGAATTACTCGAACCCAGGAGGCGGAGGTTGCAGTGAGCCAAGATCATGCCATTTTACTCCAGCCTGGGACACAAGAGCAAAACTCTGAAAAAAAAAAAAAGAAAGAAAAAAAGAAAGAGAGAGAGAGAAAGAAAGAAAGAAAGAAAGAAAGAAAGAAAGAAAGAAAGAAAGAAAGAAAAAAAGAAAGAAAAAAGAAAGAAAGACAGGTAATGAAGTAGGTAGTGTTAAAAATGTGCTTTAGAAAGAAACTACCATCTTTTCAACTACTTAACCTTTCTGTGCACGTTTTCCCATTGACAAAATGTGAATACCCACCAGCATCACTACATTGATTTAAGGATTAGATGAGAATGTATCCATAAAACCCTTAGAAGCCACTCAAGGCACACTATTATTTCAATTACAGTTAACTCATTGGCTGCACTGAGAGTCACATTTGCCCTCTGATGGTCCATGGGCTTGCTCTAAAAATCACCAACTTTCACAGCTGAAAGAGTTTTCAGAATCTAGAAGGTCATTTCACTGCATCTCAAGATGCACCTCAAGTAGGTGTGACTGGTATAAGGGGGTATCAAACTGTGGCATCTGCCCCCCAGGGATGGCACTGAGCATATCACATGTGAAATCTGATTTCCTTTTCACACGGTCCCCTAGGAGGTGTGAAAAACCTGACAGTTAAAGAAACAGGCTCAGGGAGATTATGTAAATTTCTCAATGTCATGCAGTTAACGAAGGAAAGGAAATTCCAGCACTTTATTAGGCAGCATCATATATTTTTATCTGTGTTCTAATTAATGAGATGTGTCTAAGGAATTTAATAATTGTACTTAGTAAACTGGTTTCAATTATTTTAGTAAACTGGTTTCAATTATTTATATTTTTAAAAATTCATTTTATTTCCTTATTGATGAGATACTTTCACTATTTTATCCTAGCCTACTTTTGGAGGTGTGAGAGCAATAATCCCAAATCAGATAATACTTTTCTGAAAAAAAAAAAACACACACACATGTAAAAACATGTTTCCTTTAAAACATTTAAAAAATAGAAATCAGACTTTCTGTTTTGTCTTACAAAAACTGTTTTAAGTTTATCTGTAAAATATCTTTTTGTTTTACTTTCATGAATTTAATTTATTTTTTATAGAGATGGAGTCTCGCTGTGTCACCCAGGCTGGAGTGCAGTGGTACAATCATAGCTCACTTTTAACTCGAACTCTTGGAGTCAATTGATTCTTTTACCTCAGCCTCCTGAGTAACTGGGACTACATGCCTGGCTAACAAAGATCCATTAAGTTGTGTTAAGCGGCAATTTTTTTTTTTTGTTTCATTCTAAGATCCTCTGACAGGTAACACATTCACGTCAGCCAGAGCATTGCGGTGGCAGCAGAAGTCTCATAGGCCATGTTACACACAGAAAACTCCAATCACAACAGAAAAAGTGAAAATAAAACCATAGAAGATGGTCACTACATATATGTTTAATATTAAACTAATACTTAGTCATCAGTTAGTTTAACAAATGACTAGATGCACACTACTGTCTTTACATGCATGATACATGTTTGAGTTCCAAAATAACATGAAATATAGTGTCAGGTGCGGCCGGGCGTGGTGGCTTACGCCTATAATCCCAGCACTTTGGGAGGCCGAGGCGGGGAGATCACGAGGTCAGGAGATCGAGACCATCCTGGCTAACATGGTAAAACCTCGTCTCTACTAAAAACACAAAAAATTAGCCAGATGTGGTGGCGGGCGCCTGTAGTCCCAGCTACTCAGGAGGCTGAGGCAGTAGAATGGAGTGAACCCGGCAGGTGGAGCTTGCAGTGAGCAGAGATTGCGTCACTGCACTCCAGCCTGGGTGACAGAGAGAGACTCCATCTCAAAAAAAAAAAATTTATATATATATATATATATATATGTGTGTGTGTGTGTATATAGTGTCAGCTGAACTTTCCTCATTTTAGTACCTCCGCGTTACATTTATATCTACCATGCCAAATGCTCATTGGTTTTAGTGAAACTGACCTTTTATTTAATCCTCAAATTAATCCTTATTTGGACAGCATTTAATTGCATCTCTATTATATAAATAAAACAAAAGCAAAATACAAAATTAAATACTCTCTTACTGTCTCCAGAAGATTAGAAAATTTGGATATGCTTAAAATCTCATAGAACCTAAACCCTGTTCTGTGTTTTAGACTTCAAACCCCACAAATTCAAGCTACAAAACTCTCCCTTGATTTAAGAGGTCACTGAAGGGGGTTGAATAGTATCCTCCAAAATTCATGTCTATCCGATTGGGAATAGGGTCTCTGCAGATGTAAATAAGGTATGAATCTGAAGAAGAAATCATCCTGGATTATGGTAGGTGCCAAATCTAATGATTTGTGTCCCTATAAGACGCAGAGGACACATAGATACACTCGGGAGAAGGTCTGGTGAAGATAGAAGCAAAGATTGGAGTTTTTGCTCTCATAAACCAGGGAAGCCTGGAACTATCAGAAGCTGGAAAAAGTAAGGAAGAATGCATCTCTAGATTGTTCACAGGGAGAGTAGCCAGATCAACACTTTGATTTCTGACTTGGGCCTCCAGGACAATGAAAGAACTCTTTTTTCTGTGATTTAAAGCCACCTAGTTTGTGTTAATTTGTTACAACAACCCTAGGAGATCAATAGAGTCACTGTCCTTAGATCTCCCTGGAAACATGGACTTACTGGAATGCGATCTTCCCTCTGAAACCACAACCTCTTGCAGATGCTCTCTCTTGAGGAGCAGGCTTGGCCATATTCCGCAGGGCAGTTCTCTCTCCTCCAGGGCCACGTCCAGATGCTAGCCCAGAAAAAAGATGCTGTGCTTCATGTTTCAAAGATGAAAGGTTCCAACCTTCCATTTTACTACAAGGAGCTTGGTTTTTTCCAGGTGCTCATTCCCAAGGAGGTGGGCAGAAGCCACATGGAGTGCTTAGACTATTTATTGTTATTAAGAGGCAGTAGAGACAGACAGTCAATTAGACAGAGAGGATGCATGTGACTACTTTGCATGCTGTTACACGCCTCTACTAAACAACTCTGGGGGAGATTCTGCTGAGTTGCATTTACTATTTCTAGACATCATTCTCAAGGTTTTGTGCTGTACAAGGAAGGCAGTGTTAGTGCTTTCACTCATCAGGCTTAAAAAATATCTTCATATTTTTATGTAGAACCACCTAAGAAGGGGAGGGTTCTAGGGGATGGGGAAGATGGATTTGGCTTTTCATCTGAAGGAGCTCACTTTCTCTCTGGGGAGAGGCACCAAAGCTGTAAGAGTTTCTAGTCCCACATGTAGAGCTTGGTATGCACATCTGCTCTTCCTTCTCCCCTCTCCCCATCCTCATCACCTCAGTTGGCACAGGTCATCCAGTGCCTTTTCTTTGGGATAATTTACAGACTTTTGTACCCTTAGCTTGTGGCTCAGCCCAGTTGTCACATTTCTGAAGAGGGCCTCTGAAGGCCTAATCCAAAGCCACCCTTCCATCGCTCTCTATCACATCATCTTTCATTTGTTCTTGGCACTTTTTTATTATTATCATGTAATATATATATTTTTTCCTTTGTTTGTACTGTATTTTCATTTTGCATCCCTACCCCATCACCACACAACTCTATAAGGGCAGATGAGTCATTTTTTTCCTCTGCTGTGTCCCTAACCCCTTGAAAAGTGACTTGTTCAGTGAATGTGTTCAATAAATGAATAAAAGAAGGGAAGAGTGTATGTTTCACAATGCAACCCTACAGAATTCTGTAACTACCCAACAGGTTCTTCCTGCCTGCTGCACAAACAAAGATCATGACACCGCAGTAAAGAAAGAGTTGAATTGATGTGAGGCTTGCTATACTATATGGAAGACAGAATTATTACTTAAGTCAATCTCATAGAAGGTTTGGAGGTTAGAGGTTTTTCAAAGGTAGTTTTGGAGAAGGGGTAGGGGCAGTTTGGCAATGAGTGCTTGCCACTGATTGATTAGGTCAATATGAAATCATAGAGACTTGCAGCTGTCCTCTTGTGCTGAGTCACTTCTGGGTGGGGCTGTAGGAGCTGCGTCAGGTCCAGGTGGAACCATGGGTGTCAGACATGCAAAAAACCTAAAAAGATACCACAAAAGGCCAATCTTAAGTTTCACAATAGTGGTGTTATCTGCAGAAGTAATTGGGGAAATTGCATATCTTGTGACCTCTGCAATAATGGATGCCAATTCTATATGTGTATACCTTAGCAGAATTCAGATTCCTCTATCCTCATATCCCAGTGGTCTCTCATTAACTTGACAAAGGCATTTGAGTTTTGGGGAAAAGCTATGATCATTTAAACTATAAACTCAACATCTGGCAGCTTGAAGGTTAAAGGCAGGATGGAGATTGGCCAGATCAAATCTCCCCCACTGCCATAATTTTCTTACTGATGTAATCTTTGCAAAGATGGTTTCAATTCCAAGACCATCTACTGCAGAGTGGCAGTACCCTTCATGTACTCCCAGGTCTCAGCTGGTAGTTTATCTATAACCTGAGACCAACATTTCCAGGAAGAATCTTGACATACCATTTGAAAGTGGTGCCTTAGAGTCTTAATGAGTGAGTCTTAATAGTCAAAATGAATCCACCACGAGCCAAGGGAAGAAGGTTTAGACAACGGAATGTGATTAGCTAAAACTTGCCTCGGGGCTTTGCTCTACCCCTAACAAAGACTTCAAAATCTAATAGACAGAAGTGTTAGTTTTATAGCTAGGAAGCACTTCGTGGATGCTGAACATGTCCTAGGTATTTTTCATCTATGCATGAACTCGGGGATAAATGTAACCTCTTTTTATGGCTAGCTCAGAGAAAGAAAAAAATGCTCAAGACTACATAGTTTGCAAATGAAGTGGAGAGCTGAGACCAATCTCTAATGCCTTATCTCTCACTTTCTCCACTTCTTAAAGTCTTGTAACCCTATCTTCAGAAAATTGCGTCTTATTATCAAGTCCAAAAGTTAGGGGTTTCCTGGGGCAGTTTTCAAGACAATGACTCCCTACTAGCTCTAGCCAATTTCTAGGATGACAAATAGTGGCAAACTCTCTTGAATACAGTAGACCAACAGCAATGTCTAACAGTGAGGGGCTTGACTCTGTGGAGCATAGTGAAACCAATCTTTAGCTGACTCAGGCCTGGATAAACATGGCAAGCACCTCTGGAAACAAAAAGTAAAAAAATAAGAAAATCCATTTTACCTCTCGTTTTTATTAAGAGACACTTTTGAATAATTACTATTCATGGAGGTGGGCCTTGAATTTGTGCGGCTGGATATTGTCTTTCCCTAAGCTACTGACATTTGGAAGACACTGCTTAAGGTTCTTTGTGGAGGCAAATCAGCACTTGGCATTTTCTGTGAATGTCCTGCTCCTATGAAAAGGGCCTCCTGATCATCCTCTCTGGAAAACTTCCAGTCTCCAGAATGAGAGCAACCCTGACATAAAATGTTGCTCCTCTTGGCAGGTGGAAGAAGTGACATCGTTTATCACAAGTGGAACTCCTAAAGAGCACACACTGGAAGTGCTCAGAGTGGGACCTGCTCTGCGCGCTGCCAACTCCCAGCTGATCCTGGTCTGGTCACTTGCTCCCTAGGTCACCACTATTTCTATGTAGAACAAAGAGGATGGTGACAATGACAATCACTAATGTTCTCTTAGCAATAAAATTCAGCTTCTAAACAAGTCCATGCCCCTTTGTGTTCTACAGCATTTGGGACTTGTGAAGGTTTAATCAAGGGTAACCACACACTAAACAGTATCCTTGATTTGTGTGTGATTCCTTGCCAGAGTAAACATTGTGTCTCTCAAGAGTCAGGTTCATTATTTTCTAACACTAGTGAGAGTACCTGGATTACATGGGACCTGGTGCCTCTGATGCTAGAGGACTCGCCCAAGGGTATGGGGAATTAACTGTGAGGCACGGTTAGCATGCAGTATCCTGACTGAGAAGGTCAAATTCACTTTTCGCCAAACTGTACTCATCCCTTGGTGTTATCTTTAGATTGTTAAAGCTGAGCTAAATTAAACAAATCTGCATTGCTGTGTTTGAACAAAGAATAGAATGACTGCACTAGTCAGGGTTCTCCAGAGAAACAGAACAGAGAAAGAAAGGGAGATTTTAAAGAAGTAACTCATATAATAGTGAAACCATCTTTGCAAAAATTATAACAGTAAGAAAATTATCACAGTATAACAGTAATAAAATTATCACAGTAAAAGAGATCTTCTTCATCTTGCCTTTAACCTTCAAACTTCCCTATCATTTCTGGATTTGGGCCAAGTTAACTTTAGGATAAACTTGGTTTCTAGTTTAAATAATCATAGCCCTCCCCCAAAACTATTCCACGTATGTAAAGCTAATGAGAGACCACCAATTTAGGAGGATGAGAGGAGCCTGGATTCTGCTAAGGTATAGATGTAAAGAGGTCACATGATTTGTGCCTTCCCCAATTACTCCTGCAGATAATATCACTATTGTGGAACCTACGATTGGCCTTTTGAAATGTCTTTTTTCTGTTTTTTGCATTTCTGATGACTGACCCACCAATCTGTCCTGTGGCCCCAACCAGAAGCGAACTCAGCATGCGGGAGGACCATTTTCCACACCCCTATGATTGCATCCGCAACTGATCAGCAGCACCCATTCCTTATCCACCCTACTCCCCCCAGCCCCAGAATATCTTTGAAAACTGCTAACCTCCAAATTTTCAGGAAGGCTAATTTGAGTAGTAATGAAACTCCAGTCTCCTATCTAGTCAGCTCTAGGTGTGTAAAGATCTTTCTCTATTGCAATTCCCCTGTTTTGATAAATTGGCTCTATCTGGGCAATGGGCAAGAAGAACCTATTGGGTCGTTACAATAGTAGGGCCTGGCATGTCTGAAATCTGCAAGATAGGCTGGCAGGCTGGAAATTCAGGTAAGAGCTGAGGTTTCAGTGTTGAGTTTGAGTTCCACAGAGCAGCAGGCTGGAAACTCAGACAAGGGTTCCACGTTGTGGTCTTGAGGAGAATTCCAGAACCCATTCTTCTTCACGAAATCCCAATCTTTTCTTATGGTTGTAAATTAATTTGATGAGGCCCACACACATTACTAACAACTTTTCTCAAAGTTACTAAACTTAGTTACATCTAAAAAATACCTTCACAGCAATATCAAGACTTGTGTTTGGCTAGACAACTGAGCATCTTAGCCTAGCCAAGTTCTATGTGACACATGGAACATCACAGTGACCATATTTAACCTCTCAATGGGGAGGAATTATTGGGTGGCATGGACTTCAGATTCTGACAAACCAGATTACAAAGTTGGATTTGCTATTGACAAGCTGTGTGACTTCAGACAAGCTTCTTAACTTTTCTGAACTTCAGGTTTCTTGATCAGATGGGATATTAATAGGATTCCTTGAGATAATTTGTATAATTCCTTAGCAGAAGGGCACCTGGTGTGTACATATAATCTGTTGTCTTTTCTCTATGACACCTTTTCTAATCCTGTCTAAAGCGGCTCTATCTCTTTTTCCCCTGTAGAATGTGGTTTCAATTTTGATTACATGACATCCAGAGTCTGTATTAGGCAACACTTCTATTACTTTTTCTCTATATTTACTTATTAATTCACTCAGTCATTCATTCATTAAACAAATGTGGTATATAACCATAAAGATGGCCACTAGTTACTGACCAATTTATTATAGGCCAAGAAGAGTACTCAACACTGACCATATATTAACTTATTTAAACCCAAGAATAACCTTAGAAAATAGGCATTATTGTTATTACTCTCATTTAACAGATGAGGAAACTGAGGCCCAGAGAGGTTCAGTTACCTGACCAAGGCCACACAGCTTAGAAAATGATGAAAATGGTGAACTAGAATTCAAACCTGGGACTTAAATTACAAATAAATATGAACCTAATAAAAGAAGCTGGTGTTTGTCTTGTTTACAACTTCTATTCACCCTAGCTCAGTAACTGCTTATGGTCAGCATATTAATAGCCCCTCCAGATATGTCTATGTCCTCACTCACAGAACTTCTGAATATGTTACATAGCAAAGGGAGATTAAAATTGCAAATGGATTAAAGTACCAATAAGCTTACATTGGATTGTCTGGATTCCAAATGTAACCACATGGGTTCTAAGTGGAAGAGAGAAGCAGAATAGAGAGAACCAGACAGATGGCCAGTGAGAAAGACTTGGCCTGAAGTTGCTGGTTTTGAGGATGGAAGAATGTGGCCACAAGCCAAGCAATGCAGGTGGCTTCTAGAAGCTGGGGAAGGCAAGGAAACAGATTCTCCCTTAGGGCCTCCAGAAGAAGTACAGCCCTGCAGACACGTTGATTTTAGCCCGAGGAAACCTATTTCAGACTTCTGGCTTCCAGAATTGAAAGATAATAAGTTTGTGTTGTTTTAACCCACTAAATGTGTGACAATTTGTTACAGCAGCAATAACAAACCAATACACTCTTTATTCCTTCACTGATGCAAGTTCCATATTAAAGAAAAAAAAAAGAGCTTCATCCATGTCCCTACAAAGGACATAAACTCATCATTTTTTATGGCTGCATAGTATTCCATGGTGTATATGTGCCACATTTTCTTAATCCAGTCTATCATTGTTGGACATTTGGGTTGGTTCCAAGTCTTTGCTATTGTGAGTAGTGCCAAACTATCGCAAGGACAAAAAACCAAACACCTCATGTTCTCACTCATAGGTGGGAATTGAACAATGAGAACACTTGGACACAGGAAGTGGAACATCACACACCGTGGCCTGTTGTGGGGTGGGGGGAGGGGGGAGGGGTAGCATTAGGAGATATACCTAATGTAAATGACGAGTTAATGGGTGCAGCACACCAACATGGCAGTGTGTACACATGTAACAAACCTGTACATTGTGCACATGTACCCTAGAACTTAAAGTATAATAAATATATATATAAAAAAAGTTTAAAAAAAAAAAGCAGACATATTCACAGTGCTTCCCTATTTCCAAGTATGTTATATGATTTGACCTTCACTCTAACCCAGGGTCCTGCCCTATTGTCATACCCATTTTATGAGAGAACATTGATTCAGAGCAGTGTGGCATTTTCTTAAGGTTGTGTACTGAGCGAGTGACGGAGTGGCCCTGGAGTTCAGCTTATGCCTGCAGAGGTGATCTCTGCTCCCTGCACCAAGAAAATACTTAATCCATGTTTGCTGTGAATAAAAGAGTAGGACAAGACATTTTACTTAGACTGTGCCAGATGCCAAAAGAGGAATTCAAAGGAATATCTGTGTAAGAGAGAACTCATCACCTAACTCGCCCCTCAGACCTCTATGGCCCATCAGTGTCACATGTGGCTGGCTGCTTTCATTACTCTGATTTTCTAAATCTTCTAATCAGGGCTGATGCCTTGAGGCGGCTTAGACAGAACCCTCAGGGCTGGGAGGGAGCTGCAAATGCAGTCTCTAAAATAGCGTTCTGTTTATGTCTTCATATCACACACTGGCTGACCAGAATGCCAGAGTGCATATTGTACCCCACCCCTTGCTTTTTTTTTTCTAAATCAGGCAAATGACAGAGCCATGTGACTCTACTTCAGAGTCCACTTAACTTAATTGAACAGAATGTGATGTCTGTGAAGCACAGGTGGCTGGCAATGGAGGCAGCACCCCAGCAGCTTATTATCTGATTGAGGTAGTGGCCTCCAAATGAATGGCTTTCAGAGTGTATTTTAATGGGCAGAGCCTGGGGGAGGCACTGGGCTGGGAGGCAAGGTGTGGAGGGCTATTTGCTGATAAGGACTGCAGTGAGCTGGGGATTTAGAAGGAACCATCCCACTTAGTGATCCCACTAATCCCCACGTGGGAGGATTATTATACTGAATAAGAGCTGAAGAACTGAAATTCAGAGAGCTTGTGTACATTCCTCAAGGTCACACAGCAAAAAAGAATGTGTCTTTGTCTAAATTCCCAGCCCAGCTCTCTCCCCTAGAATCCCTAGAACATGCCACCTTTTTGAAGTAGTGTAATTCTTCAAGGGCTGGGTGATATGGGGGATTGTGAGGAGTAAGAGGTCAAGTCCTGTTTCTGACTGGCAGGTCATTGAAAGAAGAAAGCTGGCCATCTCCGTGACCCCAACGCCTCATATTGTGCATTTAGTCACAGGCTCTACTCTCAGCAGGGCTGGGTTGAATCCCAGCTCTGCCCTTTCAAGCTGTATAAACTCCAGCAAGTTATTTATTCTTGCTGAGCCTGTGTTTTTGTCTGTATGTTAGAAATATTAACAAAGTATTTCTCTTTTATTTTTTATTGATACATAATATTTGTACATATTTATGAGGTTCATGCTATATTTTGTTACGTGCATAGAATATATAATCATCATAGCAGGCTATCCGGGGTGTTCATCACCTAGAGTATTCATCATTTCCATGGGTTGGGAGAATTTCAAGTTCTCTCTTCTAGCTATTTTGAAATATGCAATACATTGTTGTTAACTATAGTCACCCTACTCTGCCATCAAACAAATTATTTCCCATAAGGCTCTTGTAAAGATGAAATGAAATAACGCATGTAAAATTGCAGCCTAAGACATACAGCACACGCTCAGATACTGTTAGCAGAGCTGACTATTATCAATAGTGCTGTTCTTCTGTGTCCTTGGAAAGGCAATCACTTAGCTGGGAGTACTTTAGGGGCAGTGGGATAGGCCCTTCATCTTCTTTTCAACAAACTTTATTCTCTTGTTAATAAAACTGACTAAAGTAAAAGCGTGTTCTCCAGAGCTGTAGGATCCTGTGGTGGTTCCACAATGACCCCTGTGGCAGGAGTAAATAGTTAAGAAGTAAGTTGAGATGCACAGTTTGCAAACGCCACTGCTACTTTAAGTAGAGGAGCTCCACTTTTATTTTCATCAAAATTGGCATTTCCCATAGGATTGCATCTGAATACAAACAGAGGTGAGCTTACAGGTCCCTCTCCAAGAAGGCCTCCTTGGCCATCTCTGACACATTTATTCTTCCTCTGACCTCCCCATTCCTCACCACTTGATATGGTTTGGATGTTTGCTCCCTCCAGATCTCATGTTGAAGTGTGAATCTCATTGTTGGAAGTGGGATCTGGCGGTAGGTCATCAGATCATGAGCACGGAGGATCCCTCATGAATGGTTTAGCACCCTCCCTGTGGTGATAAGTGAGTGGTGTTAAGTTGTTGTTAAGATGTAGTGATAAGTTAGCTCATGTGAGATGTGGTTGTTTTTAAAAGAGTGTGGCACCTCGGCCCCCTCTCTCTTGCTCCCACTCTGTGATACACTATCTCCCACTTCACCTTCCATCATGACTCTAAACTTCCTGTGGCTTCACCAGAAGCAGGTGCAGGTGCCATGCTTGTATAGCCTGCATAACCATGAGCACATTAAACCTCTTTTCTTTATCAATTACCCAGCCTCAGATATTTCTTCATAGCAACACAAAAAAAGGGCTAATACACCACTGTTTCCCTGACCTGTGTCACCTATAAATTCCTTTTTATAAATCAAACCAAGTTATTGCAGTCTACTCCAAAGTATGAACCACTTTCATATCTCCTCATTAGGAAATGGGCTATTCCTGCTCCCAGAAATGCCTTTTCGTCGTGCCTCTGGGAGTCTCCTACCAGTCTTTCCAGCTCAGCCCTTATCTTCTCAGTATTTTCTGACTTCTATTTCTTTGAACAAGCAAAATTACCCTCCACATTTGTAATCCTACAGATCCTCAGATTCTCCCTTATCACTTCATTTTATAGCTAAAATACAGCTTTTAGAATGACTGCAAATACTGACTTCTCTGCAAGAATCTGGGACATATTCCACAATTCACCTTTGCTGTAAACATCTTAGCGAAGAGTTATTACAAAGGGGTTTCCTGAACAATCATACACTATATAACACTACTTGAGCATTAAGTGTTATATAAGTTAGGATTTACTCTAGCTCTTTGTAACAGAAACTGAAATATAATAGCTTGAACAAGAAAAGTGTTTATTTTTTCTCATGTAGAAGTCCAGAGTTAGATGGTCTAGGGCTGATGTGGTGATTCTATTGTCTGGGACCAAGCCCGCCTTTATATTTATAATTTTCCATCCTTGGAAGGTGACTACCTAATACAATATGGCTGCTGGAGTCCCAGCCCTCATGTCCACTTTCCATATAATAAGAAAATAAGAAACAAAAAAGAGGAGTAGTGCAGAATGGCTTCTATCTTAAAGCTGAATCACTCATCTCCCTGTAATTGTTTAGTAGAAAACCCCTCTTGTTGGATTATTTGTATACACAATTGGCCACCTTTATATGTAGGAGAGTTTGGGAAATGTGACATACAATGTTAATCCAAAGTTCCCTCTTAATATAGGAATCTGTTACAAAGAAAAAAAGGGGGTCTATTATATACTGGGCAGATAAACAACAGCATATAAACTGAGAGGATCCCAGCTTCCCTGGTAAATAGTCATCAACATGTTTCTCTGGTCTGCCTAATAACTCTTGGGGTGCGTGTTTCTCTCTAATGGATGCTGGAGATGTACAGTGACTTCCAAGAAGTTCACAGTCTACTGGGGCAGAGTGGACTAGCACGCTTCTTACTATAGTAGAATATAAAAACTTATATATTAAAGGCAAACACATGGAATTTGGGCATTTAACTCAGGCACTGCGGATCAAGGAAGCTTCCTGGAAGAGGTATGCTTGAGCTGTGTTTTGCAAGCTGTGTAGGCAGTAGCCAGATAAAGAGGTACTGAGAGACATAACACCATGATACTGTATTCCCATATGTGGGTGGACAATAAAGTCATTTCTCATCTGTTCCATGCTCTGATTCCAATGCAGTCATGCACTCAGTATTTATTCAACTAAAAGTATTTATGTCATTTACATATTTGTGCCAGATGATATTTAAAAGATTGGGTTGCAGAGGAGCACAGGTAGCTTACACTGTTGTTGTGGAGAAAGGTAGAAAACAGGCAAGTAAATCAATAGTTAGAGAGTCTAATTACAGCAATGAAGAAAATAAACAGAGAATGGTGACAGGAAAGCATAAGGACTACACATATATATCTATATAGATATATAGTTGTGTGTATATACATATATACACATACATATATAACATATAGACACATGTATAAGATTTATGTATGCATACTTATATAGCATATAGACACATATGTATAAGACATACACATATATACCCTTTGTATGTATATATACACACACTTATGTAAGTATATGTATATATGTGTGTATATACACACACAAAGGTTATATATACACACATACAAATATATATATACACACACACATATATATGTACACACACACACATATATATACACTCACTACAGTCAACTGGAATTGAGGTTGCACACTGTGATTTTTACACTGAAAAGCCAAAAGTTGCTGGCCACCCAGGGCCTAGGGAGGCCAGACTTCCTCAGACGTGCTTGCAGAAACCAGTACGATGCTTTAAAGAGCCCTGCTCCATCCCTCATTGCATGGATCTTTTTCTTGGTGTGGACTCTGAAGGGTCTGTCTTTGGAGAAGGGAGGTGGGTGGAGCTATCAGCATCCCAAATTAGAAAAATAGAGAAGTCTGTAGCCAGCAGCCTGTAAACTGGAAACACTGGTCTCAGCCAACCTCCTCAGGGTGCCCTGGCTTCTCCCCAAGGATGGATGCTGGTGTCATCTATCCACGCTGGATGACGCCAGCATTGGGATGTGCAGAGCCCTGAAAGGGCTAGTGCAGATTGGCTCCACGTGCAGAAGAGAAGTCAGGGCTTCCAGGGAATTGCAATATTGTGACGTCTGACTCATATGTCACATTTGTGTAAAATGGTCTATTCTTTAAAATAGTGTGGATAACTGGAATAGTGTATGTTTGCTTGGAGGTGTTTGTGTGAACCTATGACCGTTACCAAACAGATGTTGCATTGGGAAAAATCCAAAACACAACTTCAAAATAAAATATATTTTTAGGTTTCAAATATGCATATATTTGAAATATTCATATATAATAAATAAGTTGACTAACTTAATAAATCCAAATTTATATATATATACACATACACATGATATATACACACATACATATACAGACATTCATATATATGTAGTCTGGAGTATGGTCTGGAGGTCATCTATTTACAAGAAACACAGGAAAAATATTGCTCATCTCCATCTATGTTTATCAAATTAAAATTCTTCAAACCTTTGTTTCTGTTTTGCTAATAATACCTTCTCCACGAAACAGAACTCAGGCAATGAGTCATTGTCAGGCTTTCAGACTAAATTGATAAAACAGTATAGTCTCTGCTTGGCACCCAGTGGTCTCTGTGCTGGATCTTGTCCCACCTAGATACTGACCAGAAACAGAAGTGGCCAACTGAGAGCTGAGAGACAGAAAAAAGTGTCATGTTTGTAATATAAAAACAAAGAAAAACAAAATGAAAATCAAAACACAACCAAACAAGACAAAACAACACATGAAAAACCTAAACAGCATTCAAGGAATGCTTTGATCTTTTGTCTATCTTTTTTATTACGGCAATTAATGTATATACAAATAATAAATATATATGTATATATATGAGAGAGTAACAAAGTATACTAAAACCAATGTACCTGTCAGCTCCAAAAATTATTGCAAAAGCACCAATCTTTTTTATCAATATTCAAAATTCCTTTCTTCACTTCAAATTATTATACCAAAGATCCCATACCTAATGGCATTTTATTTTGTAAATCTCTAAGTAGGTTTCTTTAAAATATAAGAATTCCTATAAAAATAGCACAATACCAATTTTATCTTTAAAATGTATTCTGTCATTGATAATTCTAAGATACAGTCTCACGTCTTCCAAGGCCCTATATTTTATTTAAAAGTTTGTTTATTTGAATTAGAGTATAAATAAGCTACATACACTATAATTAGTTGATATGCGTCTTCATTTCCTGTATATAAAGTTGCTCCCACACAGATTCCCTCTTTTGGCAATTATTTGGTTGATGAAACTGACAGGCCCATTGTGTAGAGATGACCACAGTGTGAATTATACTGACGGCAATGCCGTGGTATTATCTACCATGTACTTCTGTCCCTTGTATTTCCTGTAAACTGATCAATTGATCTAAAGTCTTAATCAAATTCAGGTTTTTTCTTTTCTTCTTTTTTTTTTTTTTTACTAGACTACTTTAATAGTAGTTTTGTGTAACTCTCACAAGAGGCTCATCGTATCTAGATGTCTCTCTTTCTGTGATGCTAATAGCTATTGACAGTCATCCATTAGTTAATTAGGGGTTTCAGAATGGTGCTATTCTAACTGTATAATTTCTTTTTTCATTATTAGATAGACTACTTCTAAGAAGAGAAACTTTCCAGGGGAACATATTGCATGCACATTTCACCATCATTAACATTATTATAAGCATTAAAGCATTCCTGGTCCGGATTCCCCTCTGAAGCCTGGTCAGTTTGAGTTTTGATAATTTGCATTTTAGTGCACAGGATTCCCATTAATATCTGCCTAATTACTATCTATTTTGAACATCTTCCTCTCTGAAGTTTTTTGTTTTTTCCCATAAAGACATTTCCAATTGTTCCTTTTGGATTTGTTATTTTTCTTCTTTCTTACCACAACAGTAATGACTCTTTCCTCTATTCAACTTACACTCAGCTTTCTTAATAATAGTTAAGGATTACAACTCTATCAACGAAAAGGGAAGTAGAAAAAAGTGTCAGTTGAAATTATATGCAGAAGGGTGAATTATTAAGAGAACATCTGGCATTAGCATTGCTTTTCTTCACCACTGCCCTAGGAAAGAAAATTCAGCATTGTATTTACAAAGGTCTATTTCCCACCCTGGGGAGGAAATCTAGAACCTCTGTATTTTTTTTTTCTTGTTTCAATTATTTATTTTTAATTAACAAGTAAAAATAGCATGTATTTATCATGTACAGCATTGCTGTTTTGAAGTCTTTAGAATCCTTGTGCATGGACAGTATGACATCATGTATGTGATAGTTTAAGCTAAACTGCAGAAGTTATGGCTTTTTTTAATCAGAAATACATACTCCACAGATGGCAAGGAGGGGTTTCGGTTATCTTGAACTCTGGTCAACACCAGATGTTTTGCTAATTAGCATAATTAACATTAGAAATAAGTAGTCAACGGTGAGATTAAGGACTTTATAAATAGCATAATGGACTTTAGAAATAGACGCTCAGTGTAATCAATAGTACTCAAGATAAGTGAACTGGCTAAAATATTTTAGAGACAGTCTCAACATGGCATGGAAAGGACTACAGATCTAGCAGTGCTTTTTCTGTTCAATACCATATGGATTGGCATTAGAGGTATAATATAGTAAATGTCTTGAGTTCACCTTGAACTTTGAGGATTTCATTTGCTGACAATAACTAGGTCTTACTGACTTCTCCTCTAGAATATTGCTGTTTTTCCACAAAAGAATTTTTCATGCAAAGTGCCCTCAGAGTACCTAAAAGAATAGTGAGTTGAGATTTTTTTTCAAGCTATATGACTGTCTTTTTATTTGCTTGATAACAAATGTTTGTTTTCAAAATATCTTATGGAGCAGTCCTTGTATGATTGTACTGGTCACTTGCAGTAGGAATGACCAATTAATAATGCCCCAGCTCCTCGAAGCTCATGATCTGCCAAGAAGACAACACTAATGGGTGCATGAATAATTACATAATTTGTGTCCATGATATGGGAGGGACCCTTCTGAAAGGGGCAGAGCCAGTCCCCTCCTGGCCTGTGGTCCTCACTGGGAGCCACTTCCCTCTGCTCCCTTGTTCCATGGTTCACCCTCTTTATCCTCTAGTTTTGATGGTGGGCTAACACTCTTCAACTCAAGTTCTCCTGGCTTTTCTGCTAGACGCAGCCCCAGCCCCATCTCTCAGAGGGTGCATCTGGCACACAAGAAGAATAGCTTAGCCCAGGAGACATCTTTGGATGTTGTAGGGGGGTGGGGTGGGGTGGGGTGGTATCACCCAGGGAGAAGATGTGGGAGTAGAGGAAAAGAAGCTAGTTGCAGATCCCAGCTATCAGGGGCTGAGGGCTGGACATGGGCTGCCAATATGTAAGGAGCGAGTTGGGGGAAGTGTGCAGGGGTCACAGGGAAAAGCAGAGGGAGGCCCAGGAAGTGAGGGGAGAAAAAGTCTTCCAGAAGGAGAGAGCAGAATAGCCATGCTTCCCTCTCTGTTTTCTGTTCTTGTCCGGTTTCAGTTTTCTCAGCGGACTTTGTAAGACTATTTTTATGGAAGTTTTCTCTTTACCAAGGTGGGCTGCTGCCTTCTTTTAGAGCCAGGGAGGAAAGACACCTAGATTTGAAATGTTCATACACATTACGCTTTTTTCTAGTAATTGATTTCTCATTTTATCCCAATACCTGCATATTCTTTTCTCTTTCTCTGTCAGCCTCATTATATTAATCTCATTCCAGCACAGACATCGATTAGCGAGTGTTCTCTGAAGAGCTCCACATGCTGATGCTTGATGCCAATATCTGGAAATGGAGTAGGTGAGGACTGTGCAGAGAGACCAAAAAACACAGCAGGGATAAGAGGTACCAATTGTCAATAAGAAGGGGGCTTTGCACCACTGAACGTGGCTTATGCTGCTGCCTGGAAAAAGAAGAAAAAAATGTCCATTATTTGTAATGTGGAGCAAGGTTGTGCTTGATACCAACAGCCTGGAATCACTGGCTGAGATGATAGGAAACCCTTTTATTCCATGGGCTGTGTAAACAGGGCTTGGGGTGAGGATTGTTCTGGGTCTTTGAGAGAGAGGATGCTTCAGAGACCGACTCTTCCTCTTAGCTATTTACAAATAATTTCTACCAATTGGAGACGTTTTTGATTTACAAATTATGCTGTCAATTTTTTGTTAATTAATCTTAACCAAACTCTGGAAGGTATTATTGGTGTTTTTCTCCAGTTATTAACAATTAGGCTCAGGCTCATCTCAGCCAAATTTGGCCAGATGGATAATTGTGAAAGGATGCTCAAACAAGGGTTTCTACTTTCTAAGCTGATGTTCCCACCACTGCAACATGGTCTCTTCCTTATAATATCCTAGGTCTTTGCTTTCTTGCTAGGCAATATTGCCTAGTATTATGTGAGGCCAGCCAATATGATAGGTATATTTGATCACTGGCTCAGTAAATAGAGCCAATGCCCTCTTGTGAAAACTTCTTATAATTACATTTGCCTTTAAGATAACAATATGATTATCAAATATTTGACAGGATTATCAAGCCTTAGTGAAAATTATTTACAAATTAAAAACTTTAGGAGGGCTGTCCTGAGTGTCAAGAGAACAGAAGGAGGTATGGGGAGAAGAGTAGCAAGAATAGAGCCTGCTGCATGTGTTCTATACTGTGCTGGGGTTTTATGCACATAATTGTTTTTGCTTCTTTTTTTGTCAATTTCATTAACTGGATAAAATAGGTGATATTTGACCCAACTGATAAATATGAACTATAGAGCAGTTTGATATAGTTGAATAGCTTATGAGTAGCAAAGCTGGATTTCCTTGGTTAATTTTTGTCCTGAGTCTAGCTGTTAGAATTCCCATTCCGGTGATCTATCTGTCTCATATGCAAGGTTGCTTGCCCATTCTCTGGCTGCAGGAAAATATTAAGTAGCTCTTAATTCATCGACCTGAAACTATTCTTCAGACATCAAGGTCTAAGTGTGATGTTACAGATAAAATAAATAGATAAATAAAAGTATGGAAAAGATCAAGATACCGATTTCTGCTTGTTTTGCAGGGATCTGTACACTTCAGCTAACTGTGCAAATCCAGAATTTCCAGCCCTCACCAGTGTACACCCCAGAATCATTACACACATGGCATCAAACAGAGTGGTGCTCAGGGGCTCCATTCAGACCCTGACTGTCTCTTCTCCCCAGTAACTCCGGTGTGCACTCTTTTCCTAGTGGTCCCTTGCTTGATGAATTTAAATGATGATGGATCCATTGATTCATTAATTTCTACTAAACACATTAATTGAGTCCTCGAGCTGTGCCTGGGATTGCTCTAAATGCTTTAGAATACATCATTCTCAGCAAACTATCGCAAGGACAAAAAACCAAACATGGCATATTCTCACTCATAGGTGGGAATTGAACAATGAGAACACATGGACACAGGAAGGGGAACATCACACACCGAGGCCTGTTGTGGGGTGGGGTGAGGGGGGAGGGATAGCATTAGGAGATATACCTAATGCTAAATGACGAGTTAATGGGTGCAGCACACCAACACGGCACATGTATACATATGTAACAAACCTGTGCATTGTGCACATGTACCCTAAAACTTAAAGTATAATTAAAAAAAAAAAAAGAAAAAGAAAACATTGGTGACCACACCATTGGCACTTAAAAAAAAAAAGATCCCATCTTTAAGTGCTTTAAGTCATTGAGAGATTATAAGGTTATGAGTTTAAAGATTGGAATGCCAAAAAGAAAGTGATGAACACCAAAGTATAGACAAAGCGATCTGACATTTAGAGGATGAAGAAGTATATTACAGGTGGGGAAATAATAGTAAGTTTAACACTGATAACCATTAATTTTGCATATATTATATGCTTCTCTGTGGGTTACATTCTTCATGTAAATGGATTCATTGGATATGCCATTATAATTAATATAAGCAGCATTCAGCTGTTCATAGAGCACATATTTATTGCATGTGCTAGGCACTGGGTAATCTTGTCTATGTGTGAAAATACCATGAAGAAAGGAGAGCTTCAAAAACTTTCCCAAGCCTCCACAATAGCCAGAGTTAACTCGTATCTGTTTGACACCAAGTAGATCTCTTTCTCTACAATTGGAAGACACGCAGAAGTCTTTGTGAAAGGGACACCTCATCTGAGCATATAGGATGAATAGCAATTAAAGTTGAATTCAAGAAATAAACGTCCAACAGATGCAAGCAGTGAGCTTCGCTTCTGAAGGCTGACGACTAGGAGGGGGCCGTATATTTGAGATAAATATATGACTATATGCAAAGAATCGGGGAAGCCAGAGTAATACACTATGGGAGAACTTTTTTGTTTTTAAATCACAATCTAATTTAACTGAATGAATAAGGAAAGATTTCTCAGGGATGTTCTTGTTTATGCTTAAAAAGCAAGGAGACAGGGCTGTGCAGGTAGAGGGAACTGAAAGAATTAAGGATTGGAGATAGACAACTTGAGACTGATAAAATGATGTCTCATTGCTTGCAGCATTTATTATGTGAATATGATGAGAATCATTTAAGATTTTATTGGAAGAGAAAGCTCCACAGACCAAAAATGATTAAACATCCTTGAACTAAAAATCAGGTGTTGGCAAGTGTGAGCCTGCAGGTGAAATCCAGCCAACTGTCTGCTTTTGTGAATAAAGTTTTATTGGATTCCAGCCATACTCAATTGTTTATGGATGATTTATGTCCCCTTTCATGCTATAACAGCAGAATAGACTAGTTGCAACAGAAGCCCTAAGGTCCACAAAGCCAAAAATATTTGTTTTCTGGCCCTTTATAGAAAAATTTGGCGAATTCTAGATTGACATTTGATTTTGGAGTTCTGGAAATCTAGCGAAAAGTTTTGATTGCACCTTTATTGTGATAGTCCTCATTTTTGTTTGTTGGGTTTTTGGTTTTATTATTAGGAGGATTGAACATGTAGCAATCTGTGGCTCAGATAGGCAGATGGGGTGAAAACGTCTGGACAGAAAAATTCAACCATCACCGACTGACAGAACTACTATACATTGCTGGGCTCTGACATAGGCAAAGCTGAATAACACATGCTTTTCATGCACAAAGCAATGTCGTGGGAGAGATGATCGTAACACTGATTAATTGGGCTAGCAAAGAAGGACTGCAACACAAGCAAGCATAATACGTGTATGTCTTTAAAAACACGTGGAGTCACATTCAGTTGAGGAGAATCTGAGCCAGCTTCTTGGAGGAAGTAGCATTTGAAAGGAGATAGAAGGAGTGGTAGCGTTTCAGCAAGCACAGATTTGGGGGAAGGCGTTGCTTTGTGGACAGGATTGAACTGGAAGCACACGTTTCTGACTCTTAAGTATTGCTTTCATGTCCTCATGGAAATTTATCAATGCTATAGGAGCTTTCATGCCACTGCCAGTTTCTATTTATACCTTGCCTGATTTCTTTTTGGCCCGGAGCAAATTTCCCCATGTTAATTTTTTACATGTGCAGATATCTTATGACTAATTCTAATAATTAGAGCAGAAGAAAAGAATGATGATGGAACTGTTTTATTCAATCCATTCATCTTGGTTGCCCCATTCAGCAACTTACTGACTAAATTAAATCTCAGATTCATTGGAGATATGTTTGAAGCAGATAGAAAATTGAAAATGTATTTCCACTACATTAAGGAAATGGTCATTTTCAAAATGAATCTCTTTATGAGAAGTAATCAGAATTAGATAAGGATAGAGAGCAAATGTCTGCAATATTTAGATGGTTGCGATATTAAGGGTGATTAATTATCATCTTAAAATATCACAGGCAATGCTTGCCTCATCTGTTTGCCTGAATTGACCTCTTCCGTACCCATTATGTTTCTCCGCAGTTGAAATGAGTTTTTAAATGGGCCTTGCACAGGCTCGTGCGCGCACGTGTGTCTGTGATGAATGGGACGGTGCCGGTGGTGATGAGCCTGGCCTGTTGATTCCTTTCACAACGTAAAAGAAGGATCCGGGGTGCGACAGTCAGGCAGACCTGAATCAAAAATCTGGAAATTTACTTCTCTTTGACTTATTTTTTCTGAATTGTTATTGTAGTTATTTCATTTGGTGTTTATAAGAACTAAATGAGAAAATAAATACATTAGAAAGATAAAAAGAGTGCTGCATCCAACCATGCAGGAACTCAATAAATGTTTGTCTCTACTCCCCTTATTTATTCTAGTTGATTTTATTTTAGAAACAACACCAGAAAAGACTTGTGGCAAAGCGGGGACTGTTTTCTCAAATGTTGAAACTTTGGCATCCCAGGAAGGAACAGACTCCTTATGTTATCCTTTCTTTGAAGATGAGTAAAAGCAATTGGATGAAGCCATAGTAAGCAGAAAGACTGAGGGCCAATTACCAACAATGGTTAATGCTAGAGAGTAGGAGGATATGTTCATTAAACATTTCTCATATGGCAGGAGCCACTCTAAGTGCATAATCCTCACAGCAGCCTTAAGACACAGGTACTCTTTACAGACAAGGAGAAAGAGAAATTGCCTTGATGGGACACCAACACACAGGTACATCTGCCCAAAGAAATCAGGCCAGAAGAAAATAAGTACATCTGTGCACTCTAGGTTGTGTTATACTAATCTGTTGTTAATTCTAAATTAGATATGAGCCAGGATCACACAGGGGATATCTTTTTTATAATGCAGTAAATCATCAGCTAAACAACTGGCTTTATTATGTCTGGGAGGATGTATTTATATGTGTATATCTATATATCCCTGGAGATTTTGATGATCACTGGTTGTCTTTATCTGGGAACCACTAATAAACAAAATCGTTGAAGGAGATTATCAGACTGGACAAGATAAAACAACTTGGAGTGAAGATAGGTGGATGGTGGGCAGCTGACCATGGAAGGTGTTTTCAAACCTATTTAGAATTGTTCTATCTTTTCCTAGAAGAAATAGCTAAGGTCAATAGCTCTAATCTAAATAATGGCAAGTCATACATGAATTTAGGCCGTCTTATGAGCAAATGTACTTCTGTCTGAAACAATAACGTACTTTGGAGCATTCAAGTGAAGACAGAGAAAACACATTCCGGAATTATAGTAGAAAAATTCCTGCATGAGGCATGAAGTATAGAAGTCAAACAGGATGAATGTGGAGGTGACTTCTTGTTGAGCAATTTCATGATGTCCAGGCATTGACACAGAACATCATAGTCTGCATAGTTGTTTCCCAAGCAAGCTGGGTGACTGAAAAACAATTTGAGCACATAGATTATGCTGTGCTTATCCTCCTTTCTTTTCAAAACCAAATTATTCTAACCACAAATATAACATTGTAAGATATAATCATAGCCAAATTGGCCACGTGTTCTCATAATGATGTACCTTTTTAGGATGAAGATGCTGAATTCTCTGGCCCCTCTCAATGACAGAGTCAGTCTATCTGTGTAAGCTTGAGGACACTTTAGGGGCTGCCGTACAACCTGCCTGGGGTAAGCCACTAGCAATGGCCCCCCGACATAGACTAAAACCAATGCGTGGTGGGAACCTTAGCAGCGAATGAACATTTGGTGGAGAGGAGAGCAGCCTGAGGTTCTGAAGATAGGGTGCTATTTCAATAAGAACAGCTTTTGTTGTCTCAGCTCAACTAAGAAATAACCATATCCCTTTTGGACATCTTTGGATGCCAGTGATGCATAACCAATTCTAACTAGCATAGGCTAAAAGGAGAACGTGTTCTCTTCTATCTAGAAGGGAGAGGTTCAGCAGCTGAGTTCAGGAGTGACAGCAAACACCTCCAGGATTCACTTGTTAACTCATCCTCCTTTCCGGTTGTCTTAAGACCTCAGCTTCATTTCCTCCACCCACTTTTCTCCACTGGGATTTCCAGCAGCTCATCTCCAAGAGTTGTCACTAGAAAGGGATTGGCTCTTATCATTTCTAGTACCAACTTCAAATCTTATCAAATACCTCTGACTGGTAGTAGCTTCTCACACGGGGCATGAGAAAAGGATGCAATGGATATGTCCCAGAAGCAATAAGGAGGTACACTAAGAAAGAAATGAAAACCAGAATGCATGCTCAATATTGAGTTAAATGTTTTAGAGGTAAGATGATTCTTCTGAAACAGTGCAATGGTGTTAATAAGGTGATGAGGTGAGACATGAACAGAGGTGGAAAGTGGCTTGACTGAGATTCATTTGAGGATGTTTCTAGGCTTTGTTTTAACCAAGGAGGCTTGAAATTTCCAACCCTTATCACCATTGTTCCCTGTGATTTACCGTTATCTGTACTTGATCTTCTTTCACTACACATTGTTCACAGAGACAAGAGATAGGAAGAACTTGGCTGTGGAACCAGGCAGACTTAGTTTATCAGCCGGGATTCTTTTGCTTTCAAGTAACAGAAATTTAGCTGTTGCAAAAACACCACTACAAACAACAACAAAACATGAAAATTATATGTGTAGGACTGTTTCCAGTTGTAGCTGGACATCACCCAAAAACTCCTGTGAATCTCTTTCTCTACAATTTTAACTTCTTCTGGCCTGGCCATACTCTGTGGAACCCCTTATGGTAATAAAGATGGCTCTAATCTGTGTCATGATCACTAGATGTGTGCTGCTTACAAACTCAGATATAGAGAGTTTTTTGCATGGTGATCCCGACCCGTCTTTCTGAGTCACACCTGCAGAACCTCACATACCCACCTTGGAAGTGGTCAGTGCATCCCTGATGGTAGGGCACATTGTCTTGCCAGACAGGATCTTGTGCCTGCCACTCAACTGCAGGAAGCAGAGTCCCTTATATGAAGAGAAAGAGGCACCTCACATAAGATAGGCCTAATGGGATTTATCTCCTGGGAAATTTGAAATCAAAACAAAACTTGAAAGCCAAAACATGGTCATCCTCTAGCCTAAGAAAGAAACATGTTCAGGCAGATGTTTAGACAAAAACATAGAGGAGAATCTCTTCAGATCATGTGTCTACAGTCCTCCTGTCACTGTGTCCTTGGATTCCAGTTGACACTACCTTATATTTATGAGTTGCCTATCGTTTGCTTAAGCTAACTGGAATAGCTTTCTACTCCTTCCAACAAGGACTCACAAGTAATACCCTTGCACGTCAAATCTGGCCAATTATGTTAACCTCTCTAAGTCCCAAATTTCTTATAAGAAATACACAACTTAGAGAGTGGAAGTGATTTGATAAGAAAATATCTATTCAATTTGAGACACAGTGGCCATTCAAAAACACTTATAAAACCTGTATTATTGAACTCAGTTTAAAACCTGAAAATACAAGAATGAAAAGACATGATTCTTGGTCTATAGAAGATCATTATTACAATTGACACCCTTAGTCTGTGCTGAATAAATACATGAGTGCTCACATATGTGTCAGTATTTGTGGAATGAGTGTACTATATATATCTGGAGAATAAATGCTGTCTCTTTCCCGTAAAGTTTGTTT
This sequence comes from Homo sapiens, assembly GCF_000001405.40. Classification (NCBI taxonomy): domain Eukaryota; kingdom Metazoa; phylum Chordata; class Mammalia; order Primates; family Hominidae; genus Homo; species Homo sapiens. Next base: position 137,607,462 of record NC_000008.11, read on the forward strand.
TGGTTTCAGACACACAATTGTCTCTCCATTAGTACTGGCTCTGTACCATCAGCAATCAGGTAAATTAATGGTTGACTACTTTGATTAGTAGGATTCCATTAGGGTTATTTCCCAAACTTGGTAGAAGTCTGGCTTTGTTATCTTTTAGCACCGACTGTAAATCTTTCTCTCATCTCCTACTCTTTTTTCCTGGGGGCCTAATGATTGCCCCACTCTAATAAAAATAGCATAGACTGGTTTCTCCCTGTTATGAACCGTATTGTTGCTTTTCTCCCATTCCTTCAGGAAGTACTTTGAGATCCATGCATCCTTAAGAACAAATAAGCAGCTCAATTGATTTTTAGAAAGCTGACAAAAAAAGATAATTGATTGATAATATTAGAAAACTTAATGACTATATGGTCTAACAGTTTAAACACTTTATGGTTTATAAATATAGCCTATACATATTGGGTCACTTAAAGAAGTATAGGGAACTTGTTATAACATGGGCTTTGATGTTAGAGAAATCTGAGTTAGAAATGTGACCTCAGGGAAATCATCTGAGCTCTCATCGCCTAAGGTTCCTCAGCAGAAATAAATACATACATGAATAGAATGTATATATATATACTGGCTCTGTGTGTGTGTGTGTGTGTGTGTGTGTGTGTGTGTATATATATACTGGCTCTGTATGTGTGTGTGTATATATATATATACTGGCTCTGTGTGTGTGTGTGTGTGTGTGTGTGTGTGTATATATATATATACACAGAGAGAGAGAGAGAGAGAGGGATAGATATAGATAGATAGATAGATAGATAGATAGATAGATAGATAGATAGATAGTACCAGCTCTATACCATCGGCAATCAGGTAAATAATAGTTGGCTACTTTGATTAGTAGGATTCCATTAGGGTTATTTCCCAAACTTGGTAAAAGTCTGGCTTTGTTATCTTTTAGTGCTGACTGTAAATCTTCCTCTCATCTCCTACTCTTTTTTCTCTCTCTCTGTGTATATATATATTTGCAAGACTCACAAGCAAAAGATGGAAAGTGTCTGCACACTGTTAAGTACTGGATGAGCTGTCATTGGTAGAGACACTCATGAAGTCAGCTCTTCCTTTACTGGAATTTAGGGGAAAATATACACAGGATATTGAGAGGTGGATCCAAGAGAGGGAGCCTCCTTGTTTAAAATAAAGTTAAATACATTTCTTTATGGCATGGATTCTTAGGCTTATTTTCCCTATGTGGTTTTAAGAGCTTTAGCATTATTCTGAATGAGAATTTCTCTTCATTATTTTCGCATCAGGCATCATGAGCCATTTCTATCTAGATGGTCTCTATGAACAAAACTTTCTTTTCTGCATAGAGAATGTTTGTCATTTTTTACAACCATAATGTTTGTTCCTCTTCCTTTCCAGCCAGGAAAGTGCCAGAGTTTGCAGGTTAGGTTTGATCTTCATTATCGACTCAACTATACCTTCCATCTTCATTCCCTTTTCAACTTCTTATCTCTTTTTCAGTTCCTTCTATATGAGATGAATGCACCTTAATTATACCCTAGTTATCACTGATTCCAGGGCATTTTCAAATATTTACTGCCTTTAATATATATCATGATTTCATGTTTTTAAAAATCACTCCAGTTCCAAACATTTCCCATTTATCTCTTCCCATTACCTTCATCTCAAATGCCTCCTTTTCATTCATTTCTTTTTTTTTTTTTTTTTTTCAGATGAAGTCTCTCTCTGTCCCCCAGGCTGCAGTGCAGTGGCACAGTGGTGCAATATTGGCTCACTGCAACCTCTACCTCCCAGATTCAAGGGATTCTCCTGCCTGTAGCTGGGATTACAGGCACGTGCCACCATGCCTGGCTAACTTTTGTATTTTTTTTAGTAGAGACGGGGTTTTGCTGTTAACCAGGCTGGTCTTGAACTCCTGACCTCAAGCAATCTGCCCCCCTTGGCCTCCCAAAGTGTTGGGATTACAGGCGTGAGACACTGCGCCCGGCCCATTCACTTCTTTTATGTACAGTCACATGTCCCATAATGACTCAGTCGATGACAAATTGCATATACCATGGTGGTCCTATACAATTATAATTTTGTATTTTTACTGTACCTTTTCTGTGCTTAGATGTGTTTCGATACACAAATGCTTACCACTGAGTTACAATTGCCAACAGTATTCAGTAGAGTCACATGATGTACAGATTTGCAGCTCAGGAGCAATAGACTATTCAGTATAACCTAGGTGTGTAGTAGGCTCTACCATCTTGGTTTGTGTAAGCACGCTCAGTGATGTTCTCACGATGACAAAATTGCCGGATGACACATTTCTCAGAATGTATCCCCACCATTAAGTAATGCGTGACTGTATACAAGACCCAATATCTTTTTATTTCTATTTTGGTTCTTTTCTTTTTTTTTTGCCTTTTATTTTTATTTTTTTTTTATTATTATACTTTAAGTTCTAGGGTACATGTGCACAAGGTGCAGGTTTGTTACATATGCATACATGTGCCATGTTGGTGTGCTGCACCCATTAACTCGTTATTTACGTTAGGTATATCTCCTAATGCTATCCCTCCTCCCTCCCCCCACCCCACAACAGGCCCTGGTGTGTGATGTCCCCCTTCCTGGAAACCATCATTCTCAGCAAACTATCGCAAGGACAAAAAACCAAACATCGCATGTTTGTTTCTTTTCTATTGAAGAAGTCAAGTAGTTTATTCTTTTTTCTTTGGGTTCTTGTAGAATACAAAATTTTGAAAACCATGTTCTATATCTGAGTTTTTGAATGATATTTCATTTCATCTTGGGCAAAAAAAAAATGGTTAGAATTGAATTTGATAAAAAGGACCATAGATCAAAAAAACTTAAATATATATGTTATAAGTGTATTTCTCTTAAGTGTAAAATTCTGGGAGCAGGCAATATTGGCCTGAATAGTAGTTGTGTTCCAGTGAATCCTCAGGGCCCAGCTCCTTCTGTCATTGCCTCACCAGGCATGGCCTCTGTATTAAGATGATGTAACAAATTGCCACAAACATAAAGTGGCTTAAAACAACATAAATATATTCTCTTACAACTCTGGAGGCCAGAAGTCGAAAATGGGTCAGCAAGGGCAGATTCCCTAATTCTTTCCTTTTCTAGCTTCCAGAGGCAGCCTGGATTCCTCATGGCCTCCTTCTCCATCTTCAAATCATCAGTGGAGCCTCTTCCAATTTTTCTCTTTCTGTTTCTGTCCTCATATTGCTTTTTCTCTGACTCTGAACCTCATCCTTCTCTCTTATAAGAACTCTTGCAATTATATTGGGCCCACCAAAATAATCCAGGATTATAGCCCTCAGTTTTAATTACACCTGTAAAGTACCTTTTTCTATGTAAAGTAACCTAACCTATTCACAGACTTCATGGACTAGGATGTGGACATCTTTGAGGTGTCATTATTCTACCCACCACAACTGTCACTTCATTTTTTTTTTTTTTTTTGAGATGGAGTTTCGCTCTTGTTGCCCAGGCTGCTGGAGTGCAATGGCGCAATCTCTGTTCACTGCAACTTCTGCCTCCTGGGTTCAAGTGATTCTCCTAACTCAGTCTCCCAAGTTGCTGGGATTACAGGCACGTGCCACCACACCCAACTGATTTTTGTATTTTTTTAGTAGAGATGGTGTTTCACCATGTTGGTCAGGCTGGTCTTGAACTCCTGAGCTCAAGTGATCCACCCAGCTTGGCCTCCCAAAGTGCTGGGATTATAGGCGTGAGTCACTGCACCTGGCAACACAGGCTTTATTTCAAACTTCCTGTCCTAGTCCAAGATAACTGCTCCAGCTTTCATCCCCCAGGAAGGCAAGAGTGGTGGTGAAGAATAGTCAAATGCTACATCACTTGGCCTGTGAATGAGATGTCCTGGAAGATGCCCCAAGAGCCTTGGGTTTACATCTCATTCACCATAAGATAGCCTCATGACTACACCCAACTGCAGTGGAGACTGGGAAATGCAGTCTGTATTCTCAGAAACATGAGCCCAGATCTGATGAAAGAGAAGGAGTATATGTGCTCAACTAGAACTCTTGGTTTCAGAGAGCAGTTTTTCTTTGATAACGTTCCTTTGTCTTCTACCATTTTATACTCACTCGTAGAGCTGTGTGTTACAGAACCCATCATGAGGGGCTTTTTTCTTGCCTCAACTTTCTGATGTTCTAAGGCTGAACTGTTGGAGTCTGGGAGAAGCTTTGATCTCCACTGTGTCTAGGACTCTTCTTTCCCTGACCCCTGTTTCTAGGACAGTTAGAGCAATAAGGCATCTCAGGGTATAATGTGTTATGTACAATGCCCTAGGTACCCTTTTTCTGAGCAGCACTAACGGACTCCTTTAATAAATGAAGAAAGTCAAGTGAGGTAGTATTCTGGCCATCTTTACATATAGCCCCTGCGTAGTGAATGGATGACTATCTTTCTTTTTTCTGCCATTACTGCATATATAGCAGTTTAAGCAGTCTGGCTATACAATAGACATTTAATAAATATTAAGTACAAAGAATATTTAATACATATTTGTTTTATAAAATGAATATTTAGGTTGATTCAGTATGTTGTAAGTTTTTATCTTTTGAGGCACATTGGAAATCATTTTATTTGAAAGAAGAGAAGTAAGGATATTAAATTTCTCATTTAGAAAGCATAAAAGCACATTTTGAGTATCTGTGGAAATGTTTAATCTTTTTAAAACATTGCATGTGGACATCTAAACATAAACTTCTTTGTTAGTAGGTCTTGAAACATTCAAAAGAATTCCTCATTCATTTTCGCTTTTGGTCACACAATAGTCTGATCACTGAGTCTAATTCCCTAAATGGGATTTTAAACAACTCCAGTTTCTTCTTTTGCCATTTGGTTAAACGACTTGGCCAGTGTCACAGATAGAGAAGGGCCTACCCAACAGGTGTTCTAACCCTGACTTTCTGTATATAATGCACTCTTTTCTACCAGACAGCATTTATCATCATAGCGAATAAATTCCCTCAAACAAAACTTACAAAACAGAGATGAACTACAAACAAATCTACCGTTGCTTTTTTTAGTACACTAGACCAGATAATTCTATAAACATGAAGGTAGAAATGTGCCACCTTATACTAAACCATGTATCAACTTTGAGGGAAACAACAAAGAAAAATAACATGGAGGTACAATGTTTTCTGTCTTCCATCGGTGTCCTATCCTATTTTACAATTGGGTGATTTTTGAAAAGAACAACAGATAATGAAGAGAGATAGAAAAGTCCAAAGGTCTGGGTCCTTTACCATGTAAAATGAGAATATCATTAAAAAATAAAAGAACATTTTGTATACAATTTGACAATTTATAGCTATAGCTTTAAAACCTCCATATATCCCATATCAGAGACTCTTGATAATGACGAAACATCAGAATAACCTTCACAAGGTTTTTAGTAAAATCTTATGTGTGACCCTGATCAATTGTTTTATAAGCTCATCAGAATTGATTGACTTTCATACTTCTGAAGGAAGTATGAAATACTGCTTCAGTTTTATAGAGTAAACAGACATCTGGTAATTAAATAATCCAAAATGTGTGTGTGTATGTCTAAATAACCCAGAACATGTGTCTGTGCATGTGTGTGCACGCGTGCGGGCAGTCACACATGCGTGTATCTCAGGTTATTATTTATAATAAATAACATAAAAATTAAGCTCTCTTAAAAGGAGTTATTGAATAAAATAATTTTCTATAGCATAATGTGTGGTCATTAAAATATAATCATGTGATTGGAACCTACTTATAAAATTGCAAGACATGATATTTAATGAATCATGAAAATATACAACTCAGTGTAGCATGACAATGAAATTCTTTTTCTTTCTTCTTTATCTAATCGTCTTTAAAACTGATACGTGGGGCTGGGCACGGTGGCTCAAGCCTGTAATCTCAGCACTTTGGGAGGCCAAGGGTGGCGGATCACAAGGTCAAGAGATCGAGACCATCCTGGCTAACACGGTGAAACCCCATCTCTACCAAGAATGCAAAAAAAATTAGCCGGGCATGGTGGTGGGCGCCTGTAGTCCCAACTACTCCGGAGGCTGAGGAAGGAGAATGGCGTGAACCCGGGAGGCGGAGCTTGCAGTGAGCAGAGATCGAGCCACTGCACTCCAGCCTGGGCGACAGAAGGAGACTCCATCTCAAAAAAAAAACAAAAACAAAAACAAAACTGATATATGGATTATTTGACTTCATATGACCTTATGAAGAGTGGGGTAACTTTTTCCATCTTGATTTCTACCTCTAGAGCCAGTGTTGCCTGCTTCCTGTTCCCCTTTCTGGCTTTTAAATGTTGGTGTTTTCAGAAAATTATCTGTGTTCTATGCACATCCTTCTATTTTCTCAAAGATCTCACCCATTTTATGATTTTAAGTGCATCTTTATGCTGATGACTGTAAATGTTTGTCATATCTTTTAAAAAGTGTAACTGTAATATTTGTAGGCCCTTCCTTGAACTTCGACAGACACTAAACATACTGCATTTCAAACACAACATTTATTCCTCTTATGCCACCCTCTCCACCTTCTAGATTCTTTATCTTGGAGGAATCAGCATTCACCAAGTTTTCATATCACCCAGACTACCCTACATCCTGAATGCTATCCTGTTGACTAACCTTCACTAGCCTCTTCTGAACACTGTAAATCTTTTTCTCAAATATTAATTAAATGGCCACAAATCTGTTTTGCACACAGTAACTAGGGGATCCTGTGTAGAATTTGAATTCATCTGATGTTTACAACTCTCCAACAGTGTCCAATACCTTTTGGATAAACAAAACACTAGTTGGCAAGGCATGAAAGATTCTTCCAACCTGGCCTTTCTCTGAAATTTAGAGCAAAGTTGCCTGAGATAATTGCCACAACACAGGACTATTTGTATTTTTCCACAAGTTTTGAGTTCTTCTGACATATATAAAGTGAGTTTTATCAGACATTATATGGTTTAGATTTGTGTCCCTGCCCACATCTCATGTCAAATTGGAGGAAGGGCCTGGTGGAAAGTGATAGGATCATGAGGGCAGATTTTCCCTTGCTGTTCTAGTGACAGTGAGTGACTTCTCATGAGATCTGGCGGTTTAAAAGTATATGGCACCTCCCCCTTCACTCTTTCTCTCTCCTGCTGGCATGTGAAGGAGGTGATTGTTTTCCCTTTGACGTCTGCTATGATTGTGAGTTTCCGGAGGCCTTCCAGTCAGGCTTCCTGTACAGCCTGCAAAACTGTGAGTCAACTCAACTAAACCTCTTTTCTTCATAAATTACCCAGTCTCAGGCAGTTCTTTATAGCAGTGTGAGAATGGAAAATACACGCATGCCGCTTCTTTTCCCTTTTCACCAATTTAACACTCCCATGCCCCTAATAAGTCAGTTCATGAGTTGCTAGGTACACAGAACATGCCTGTTAAATCCCTGATGCATGAATGTATTAGTCTGTTTTCATGCTGCTGATAAAGACATACCCGAGACTGAGAAGAAAAAGAGGTTTAATTGGACTTACAGTTCCACATGGCTGGGGAGGCCTCAGAATCATGGCAGGAGACAAAAGGTACTTCTTACATGTCAGCAGCAAGAGAAAAGTGAGGAAGACGCAAAAGCGGTAAGCTCTGATAAACCCATCAGATCTCTTGAGACTTATCCACTATCACAAGATGAGCACAAGATAGACTGGCCCCCATAACTCAATTACCTCCCCCTCGATCCCTCCCACAACACGTGGGAATTCTCCAAAGTCTTATTTGAGACAAAGCCAGTCCCTTCCGCTTATGAGCCTGCAAAATCAAAAGCAAGCTAGTTACTTCCTAGATACAATGAAGGAACAGGTATTGGGTAAATACAGCCATTCCAAATGGGAGAAATTGGACAAAACAAAGGTGTGAAATTGGCCAAAACAAACAGCCCATGCAAGTCCAAAATCCAGTGGGAGTATTCAAATTTTAAAGCTCCACAGTGATCTCCTTTGACTCCAGGTCTCACATACAGGTCACACTGATGCAAGAGGTGGGTTCCCATGGTCTTGGGCAGCTCCACCCCTGTGGCTTTGCAAGGTACAGCCTCCAACATGGCTGCTTTCATGGGCTGGTATTGAATATCTGTGGCTTTTCCAGGTACATGATGCAAGCTGTCAGTGGATCTACCATTCAGGGGTCTGGAGGACAGTGGCCCTCTTCTCACAGCTCCACTAGGCAGTGCCCCAGTAGGGACTCTGTGCGGGGGCTCTGATCCCACATTTCTCTTCTGTACTACTCTAGCAGAGGTTCTACATGAGGGCCCCACCCCTGCAGCGAACTTTCGCCTGGGCATCCAGGAGTTTCCTTACATCTTCTAAAATCCAGGCGGAGGTTCCCAAACCTGAATTCTTGACTTCTGTGCACCAGCAGGCTCAGCATCACATGGAAGCTGTGAAGGCACGGGGCTTGCACCCTCTGAAGCCACAGCCTGAGCTGTACCTTGGCCCTTTTCAGCCATGGCTGGAGTGGCTGGGACACAGAGCACCAAGCCCCTAGGCTGCACACAGCATGAGGACCCTGGGACTGGCCCACGAAACCACTTTTTCCTCCCGGGTCTCTGGGCCTGTGATGGGAGGGGCTGCTGTGAAAGTCTCTGACATGGTCTGGAGACATCGTCCCCACGGTCTTGGGGATAAACATTAGGCTTCTTGCCACTTAAGCAAATTTCTGCAGCTGGCTTGAATTTCTTCTCAAAAAATGGGTTTTTCTTTTCTACTGCATTGTCAGGCTGCACATTTTCTGAACTTTTATGTACTGTTTCCCTTTTAAAATGGAATGCTGTTAACACCAGTCCAGTCACATTTTGAGAGATTCGCTGCTTAGAAATTTCTTCTGCCAGATACCCTAAATCATCTCTGTCAAGTTCAAAGTCCCACAAATCTCTAGGGCAGAAGCAAAATGCCACCAGTCTCTTTGCTAAAACATAACAAGAGTCACCTTTGTTCCAATTCTCAACAAGTTCCTCATCTCCATCTGAGACGACCTCAGCCTGGACCTTATTGTTCATATCAATATCCATTTTTGCCAAAGCCATTCAACAAGGAGGTTCCAAACTTTCCCACATTTTCTTGTCTTTTTCTGAGCCCTCCAAACTGTTCCCAGCTCTGCCTGTTACCCAGTTCCAAAGTTGCTTCCACATTTTTGGATATCTTTTCAGCAATGCCCCACTCTGCTGGTACCTATTTACTGTAATAATGCGTTTTCACGCTGCTGATAAAGACATACCTGAGACTGGGAAGAAAAAGAGGTTTAACTGGACTTAAAATTCCACATGGCTGGGGAGGCCTCAGAATCATGGTGGGAGGCAAAAGGCACTTCTTACATGGCAGTGGCAAGAGAAAAATGAGGAAGAAGCAAAAGCGGAACCCCCTGATAAACCCATCAGATCTCATGAGACTTATTAGCTATCATGAGAATAGCATGGGAAAGACCAGCCCCCATGATTTAATTACCTCCCCTAGGTTCTTCCCACAACACGTGGGAATTTTGGGAGATACAATTCAAGTTGAGATTTGGGTGCGGACACAGCCAAACCATATCACATGAGTGAATGGACGCAGGTTAGGAATGGAGAAGGTGCTTTCCTAGATATGGAAACTGAGGGTAATAAGAGGAAGATGTTGTGCTTGGCATGGTATGAGAATCTACTACGTGCCAGACCTAAATGCTTTATGGGCATTGAATCATTTCCTTCTTGCTATGATTTGAATGTGGCCCCTTTGAAATTCAGGTGTTGCCAATGTGGTATTAACAGGTGGAACAATTAAGAGGTAATTTAGCCATGAGGGCTCCTGGCTTGTGAGTGGAATTAAGGCCCTTATAAAAGCAGCTCCCATAGCATTCAGAGAGTTCACCCTCCAACCTTCTGCCAGGTGAGGAAGCAGCCATCATCACTCCCCGTGGAGGACGCAGGAGTAAGGCACTGTCCTGGAAGAAGAGAGCAGCCCTCACCAGACGCCAAACCTGCCAGCGCCTTGGTCTTGGACTTCCAGCATCCAGAACTGTAAGAAGTATGTTTCTGCCCTGTATAAATTACACAGTTTGTAGTATTTTGTTATAGGAGCACAAATGGACTAAGACAATCCTCATAATAACCGTCTGTAGCAAGTTTCATTGTTGTCCGCGTTTGAAATGTAAGACAGCTGAGGAGCGGGGAAGTTATTTATCCAGTTGCAAAGACACTCTGCTGTAGAGGCGGGAATCGATGCCAGCCTTCTTAACGCTGGACAGTTGTGTCTTAAATAGACACAACAATATCAGATCAAGAAAAAATGAAATGAAACACAAAATCAGTAACCCACATAGAACTAAAATCATCAAGATTTTACGCCTTTTTTTCTCTTGCATTTCCGCTTGTCTTGCAAATGTATTACGTATTTTTGACAAATTGACAACAACAATGCCACTGGTTTGAATTGCCTTTATTTAAAGTAGCGATGTCACACTTTCTTTTATGTCAACTGCACAGTATTTCTCCTTTTTATCTGATCTATAGACCACTTAGGCTACTATAAGATCCCATGATTACCATCTCTACCCTTTTCCAATTTTGATGAAGGAGGGAAAAATAAAAAACAGTAACTCAGGCTGGGCGTGGTGGCTCATGCCTATAATCCTAGCACTTTGGGAGGCCAAAGCAGGTGAATCACAAGGTCAGGAGTTCAAGACCAGCCTGGCCAACATGGTGAAACCCCATCTCCCTTAAAAATACAAAAATTAGCCCCGTGTGGTGGTGCACACCTGTAATCCCAGCTACTCGGGAGGTTGAGGCAGGAGAATTGCTTGAACCCAGGAGGCGGAGGTTGCAGTAAGCCGAGATCGCATCACTGCACTCCAGCCTGGGAGACGGAGAGAGACTCTGTCTCAAAAAAAAAAAAAAAAGGTAACTCAATAATGACGCAGACATAGGAAAAAAATGAATGGGACAGAGAGCCTTTGTTAAAAAAAAAAACAAAACAGTAATGGTACAAGAAGAAGATGATCAACAAAATTAAACCTAACCATAATCTACCATATGTGTTAATGACTACCAAAATAGCAACAATAAAAATTCTCAAGAAACTCAAGACAGTGCAGATGACGTGCTTCAGAACAAAATTATGAGAATCCCAATTATCTTTGATTATGTATGCACAGTAGGAAGTATGCAATATTACAGACAAAGTGTTGCATGGCAACCATTTTTTTGTTAGAATACTAAATTATAATCTTGAGGAAATTCTAGTTATACAGTAATTTCAGTTTTAAAATATCTAATATTAGTCACTTTTAAAGACAAATTATATAAGGTTGCTAGAAAATTAATCATTAACACATTAGAATATTAGTTTCTGGAATTGTCTGTTGGCTTCCTGTAAAATACATAAACAATGTGTGCATTTTTGAATTTTTTATCAGTGCATAAGAGAATCTAGTATCATGACCCACCAGCGGACATTCACAACATCATTTAAGTCCTAGTGTTAAAATAATCGTTTTAGAAAAACACACACTATATCTCTATCATATTGTTTTTATTTGATCTGACTTCACTTGGGCGGGACCAGAGTTTAGCTGGAATACTATCAGACCCGTTTTGGGATTGAGGGTTGAGCCTCTACCTAATGCCCACATAGTTTCTTATCAATGATGTTCTAAAGTCTCTCATAGCCATGCCTGTTATTTCTTATGCATACTCTCTCCCAGAATAGACTGCAGGTGATTTAATTGAGCTCAGTTCTGTCTCTGTTTATCTGATGATGTGGGTGGAAGAAAGGAGGAACGTAGGCTTCTTCATATCTCATAAACTGGATCTAAATGCTTCAGAGTCCAGAAAACAAGTTACCAGCATGCTATATAAACTCTAACTCTGCAGCCAGACTGTGTTCAAGCCCAAGTTCTAGCCAGGTGTTTTCAGAGCCCCCGGGTAAACTGAGGTTCCAGCAGCAGAGCAGCTAGCAGCCCTGCTAACAGGAGATGAACAGCTAGCTAACAGGAGATGAACAGCTAGCTAACAGGAGATGAAGGCGAGCTGGACGTGGTAGTTACACAGTACCTCCCATGGGATACTTCTTTTACCTGCTGGGCAGCCAAATGCCTAGTTGTCCAACCTATGCACATGTGTTCTTCAGGTGAGAAACCTGCTGATACTGGCAGATGTTCTTGGGGCTCTTGTCTGATCCCTGTCCAGTGTCTGCCTGCCTTACCACAGCTCTGGTGCTGATTGCTCAACCTTGCGTTGTCCCTGGTGTCATGGGGAAAACCCAGCCTGGGGCAGCCCCTAGTTCTTCAGGTGGAAGGTGCACATTTAATCCACAATAGGAAACAAGTTCAAAGACTTTTACTTAAAGATCCTGGCCTAGGAGGGCATAATGAGTTGGGAGGGCGGTCCTTTCATGGAGCAAAATTATCTTGGTTTATTGTGTGAATTTGTAGTTGGTTTCTAAACAGTCATGTTGACATCTCACTTTATTCAACTATTTGTCTCATCAGTCATCATCTTCCCTCCCTCTGTCTCTTCCTCCCTTTCTTCTTTCTTCCTTTCCTTTCTCTCTGCCTTCCTGCCTTCCTTTTTTCTTCCCTTCTTCCCTTCTTTCCTCCCTTTCAGGAATATTTATTGAGCACCTACTTTGTCTCAATACTGTTGTTAGATATCCATCATCATTTAGTGACTCAGTGGTTGTTGAGAATTAATCAGAATACTGCTGGCTATCAATTACACACATAGAAAATATAATATAAATTCAGAAAAAGTTACAAAGTCATTTATCTCCCAGAACATTAATAAAGTAGAAAATACAGAACACTGGTTTGGGGGCAAAGAATGATGATTTTAAAATGCTTTCATTGAAAATGGTAGCAGATAAGAGAAGATGCTCCCGGGGAAATAGTTTGTATTTTGTTGAATTCCATTTTGAAAAGAATGAGTGGTGATATGAAAGTTCCTATGTTTTTACCTTGCTGTATGAGAAAAAAAAATAGTAGGCTAGTATGAAAAGGCAATATCATCACTCTGTTGGTTTTGCACAAAAAACTTTTATTAGCTTTGTTTGGTTTTGTTTTTCTGCCTACAAAGAATATTACATGTAATTTTTAGAAATTTAGGGAAAATCGGAAAAGCGCAAAGAAGGAAACAATTTATTTACACCTAGAGCACAGAAGTAAATACTGATAACGGCCCAGGCTCAATTCTTCTGTCTTGTATCTATGCATATTATGCACGGGAGGACTTTTTTATGTTATGACATTTTAAAGACTTCGTGTCATTTGCTATACTTTGAAATCAGCTGTTTCTATTTAATATTATAACTTAGAAAAAATATTATTTTTTAATGAAATTTTGGGTTGCTACACCCTTTGTTGTAGTGAGCTGGCTTTAGAGGGCTCTGGTCTTCGGTTCTGGCCATTTCTGTCTTGGTCCCAAATCCTCTATTAACCATTTGTATTGCTTTGGGAAAGTCCCTGCCTCTCTTTGGATATCTATCTCATCCACTGTATAAAATAAAAAGATTGGAATTAAATGATGTGACTTACAAGCGCTAGTGCTCTAGAATTTTCTAATTCTTCATCAGTGCAACGTCTCCCCCCAGTGCCATCGGAATCCTGGGAGCCTGTGGAGAGGAGCAGGACCCCGTCCATTCCAGTGATCCCTGAAGGCACTGAGGAGGAGAAACATCAGTCCCTCTGTGGCTTCTCTTTATTCATTACTTTTTCTTTCTGCTCAAAACATCCCCAGATCCTGCTCAGGCCCACAGAAAGGGAGTAAGCCACTGCACCTAGCAACATTTTTAATCTTAGCATATATTATCTGTAGTGCTTCTACAAAAATAAAGTCTTTTAAGACAAAACAAAAACAAAATCTCCATTTGGGACAATAACTGCCTTTTTTCAGGACTTTAAATGTTGCATAGAGAAGGGACATAGCAAAATTGCCCCAATGCAATGACATGTTTTCCATCAATGGCTCTTTGGCTTTGACGAAGTCATCAACCTCCTGAAGGGCAGCATCATCCTAGGAGCACAGAACTAGTCTGGAGTTCAGTGGATGTAGGTGCTGTGTGAGTTTGAGAAATTCGCTGAACATCCCTGAACTAAATCGTAATGTATCACATTGTAATAAAATATGTCTTAAGTACATCATCCTTATTATTTTACTTGGACCTGGAAGGCAGAGGTTGAAATGAGCCAAGATCATGCCACTGCACTCCAGCCTGGGTGACAGAGTGAGACTCCCTCTCAAAATAAATAAATGAATACATAAATACATAAATAGTACAGTGTCGCCAAGTGGGAAGTAATGTGAGAATTTTTTAGGAAGACAGACTGAGGACATTTCATAAATATTAAGCATGGCTTAATATTAGGAGCTAAGTTAGGTGTTAGAGGCACAACAAATACAAGATAAATATGATCCCTGTCTTCACGGAGCTTGCAGTCTAGGGGAGGGTGAGTACTAAGATGACCAACAATAAACAATTAAAAACAACTATAATTACAAATTGAATTTTTTCTATGAAAGAAATAACTAAGACTACGAGTTCAATGGATAGTCAGGAGATGTCTCTAAGGCGATAATATTTGACTCATAATCTCTGAGGAGTCAGCCACAAGAATAACGGGAGAAGCTTCCAAGTAGAAAGATCAGTAGGTGCAAATGTCCTGAGATGGAAAGGAGGTTAAGGAAGTGTTGGTGGTTGGAACTTCATGAGGGAGTGTATGGGGTGCCAAGGCACAAACAGCTAGGAGATAGGTCAAGGAGGGCCAAGATTCCAGGTTTGATTTGATTATAAATATGATAATAATGATATTGATAATGATAATTGTAAAGATAATTAAAATTAACATTTACTGAGTTTTACTCTGTGCCTTAAGCACTTTACATTCTTTAACTTATTTATTTGTCACAACTATCATATGGGACTACTACCATACTCTTTATTTTACAGACATGTAAACCGAGGCACAGAGGCAGGAAATAACTTGCCCTAAATTACATGGATAGCCATGTAAAGTTAGCAAAATGTTTTATACAAGAATAGCCTAATTTGATTTACTTTTAAGAGGATAATTTTGATTGCCATTTGTAAAAATATTAGAGGAGGGTGAACATATAATCCGTAATTTTTAAGAGCATATTACAATAGTCAAAGAGAACAGGATGGCTTATACTAGGATTTTGGTAGAAAAGATAAAAAGAAAAGGGCAGATTTTAAATATATTCTGAAACAAAATTAGCAAAATGTTGTAAAGGATCAAATGTGGGAGATAAAAGGAGAGAAATTAAAGACCATTTGAATATTTCCCACTTGACCAATTAGACGGAAAAAACAACGTGCATTTCTTGAGTTGAAGAGTTCTGGGCTAGAAACAAACAAGGGGCTAAGGCAATCAGAGTGCAGACTTAGACTTATCATTGTCCTGCTGTGGTTTGCAAAAAGGTGGCTCCTTTGTTAACAGAAAGTAGTTGAAGAGAGTGAGCCATCAAGAACATGATTCTAGATTATCTTCCATGTAAAAAACAGGGAGATGCTAAGACAGAGGAGGGATGAATAGATGTATAGCAGGGTATATTAGATACAATGTCTCAAAAGTACAGTAGTCTCAGCCTCTCCCTGCAAGTCTTTCTATTTTTTCTCTCTTTTAAACACATATGCCTACACACATACATATGCAGTAGAAATTATTTACGGTGTGTATCAGCATGTCTGGAAGGGGGCTGTGGGGTTTAGATCAGCTGGGTGAACACAGCGTAAGGCATCTAGGAACTGGCATCCACATTTGTGCAAAAGTCGTATGGAAAACCACAAAACTGGTCCAAGTTCAGTGAGGCCCTAATCAGCAATCTGGGATTTGGGCCAGGGCTCCAGTCCCTCACTTGAGAAACTGGAAACAAGACAGAGGCCAGAATCAAAGCAGCTTGCTCTCCTTTGGAATGTGGCATGTTGAGGTGGAATTCAGCTATGCAGGGACACATTGCTCAGAGGTCTTCCCTGGAGCACTGGAACCTGGATCCAGCTGGATGTCACCAAGGCTCTGGCCTGAACGCAGGAGCTCATCTTGAGTTTTACGAGTCTATTTATCAGAGAGGCCTTCCTTGAAGCGAATTGATGTGTGTCCTCAGAGCTCTCTCCCCACTTTTTTTCTTCCCTGAGAATGGCACTCGTCACATTTTGCTGCAACTACATAAAACCTGGTGAAAGTATAACATTCATCAAAATAGACTTTTCACTGCTATCTCTTCAGTTGATAGCACAGCGTCTGAAACATGCAAAACCTACAAAATGTGGGTCGCTGAGTGGATGTTACTTCTTATCCAAATTCACTGTAAATAAGTGTTGGTATCACATAAACATGAAGACTTCTCCGAGTATCCATTTGAAAATATTCATAATTCCATTAAAATTATATAGCCTGCAAAAAACATTTCCTAAATTATGATGAATGTCCCAAGTTATCTTTATCTGAGTTTCCCAGGATGGCCATAACAAAGCATCACAAACTAAGTGGCTTAGAGAAGAAGGAACATTTTCTCTCACAGTTCAGGAGTCTGCAAGTCTGAAATAAAGATGTTGGCAGGATCGGTTTCTTCTGGAGACTCTGAAGGAAAATCTACTCCATTCTTCATTTATATCCTCTGGTGGTTGCTGGCATTTTTATCATTCCTTCGCTTATAAATGCATCACTCCAGTCTCTGCTTTTATCTTCCCTCTGTGTCTGTGTCTCCTCTGGGTCCAACTATCCTTTTACAAGGGCATTCGTCAATGTATTAGGGTCCATCCTAATCCAGTATGACTGCATTTTAACTTGATTACATCAGCAAAGACCCCTTTTCCAAATGAGATCACAGGAACCAGAGATTAGTACTTCAACATATATGTTGGAAGAACACATTCAACCTACAACATAGTTCTTTCAAATGGCTCTGGGATGGCGTGGAGTGAGAGTTTTTGTGATGAAAGACTACTTTAAGAAGACGCTTATCTTTTTTTCTCCCTTTGCATGAGACTAGCCCCCATGCTGACCTTTTGCATAGTTGGTCTTTATTAAATATCCAGCTCCTTAGAATAGCTGAAGAATTTTATTTATGGGAGGTTCCACTTTGGGTGCCATAGTTTAGAAAGCACCATTCCCTGTTCCCTGCCCTGGAGGAATAGAATGTCCTCCTTTCATGAGGGCTTCTGTATTAGTCAGGGTTCGCTAGAGGACAGCACTAATAGGGTAGATGTATATAAGAAAAGGAGTTTATTAAGGAATATTGACTGACATGATTATAAGGTGAAGTCCCACAATAGACCGTCTGCAAGCTGAAGAATAAGAAAGCCAGTCCAAGTTCCAAAACCTCAAAAGTAGGGAGGCCGACAACGCAGCCTTCAGTCTGTGGCCAAAGGCCCTGGCAAACTACTGGTGAAGGTCCAAGAGTCTAAAAGCTGAAGAACTTGGAGTTCCATGTTCAAGGGCAGGAAGCATACATGCCCTTCCAGGTATCCTTCCTCGTTCCTCTGCCTGCTTTTATCCTAGCTGCACTGACAGCTGATCAGATGGTGCCCACCCAAATTGAGGGTGGGTCTGCCTCCCCCAGTCCACTGACTCAAATGTTAATCTCCTTTGGCAACACCCTCACAGACACACCAGGAACAATACTTTGCATCTTTCAATCCAGTCAAGTTGACACTCAATATTCACCATCACAGTTTTCCAGACCACTGGCTTCTGCAAGTCAGCAGAGGGAAATCCAGCTCTAATCAGCAGGAGAGGGGCTGCGGAAGGGCGCCACACAGTATTTAACCCCATTTCTCTCCTCCGTTATCATTAGGCCAGTGTCTGGTTAACTGGGAGTCTCAAGACAGCATTTTTTAATAGATGCATATTTTATCTCACCCCAACTAGCTCTTTGTTATGCAAATAAGCACTGTGTACTTTGTTTATGTTTCAGCTAAATCAAAGAATCTTTTGGCAGGAACTGCATTCTTCCAGCAGCCATATGCTGTTGATTAATCACACATAATAGGGAGTTATTGTATGGAGTAAAGCAATTTCATACCAATCACTACCCATTATTTAATATCTTTTTGACACATTGTCTCATTTTAGTATATCATACCTTTGAAAGGAGTGGGAACAGAACAGAGAGATAGAGAAAGCGAAGGGGACGGAAAGCGGTTATGAGGAAGGATGAGGGGACTGCAGGGCAGAGAGGGAGAAAGAAAAGCATCCAAAGTTAAAACGGTAGGAAGAAATAAGAAGTATATTACATGGGTTTGAAGGAATTTCATAACTGAACAAGTCGTTCAGCAAATAGCGCCACCCTGTGGATTAGAGTTCTATGACACCTGAAAAAATAAACATCACAGGGAAGGCAGGGCAAGGCACTGGATTACCAATGTTATTCTTAGAAGCATCCAAATTAAAGTGAATCCCCTACCTGAGGATGGAGAGTACAGGGAAAGTTTCCAGCACAGGAGACATTTAAAATACATTTTGCAAGGCAGGTAAGAATCTAGTTCTTTGCAGGCTAAAAAGAGCTCCTCTGTATCCCACATGGACTCTGCATGACACAGGGCACAGGACAGCCATGCATTGTTTAGTTTTGTTTTTTGTTTGTTTGTTTGTTTGTTTTAGAGATGGAGTCTCGCTCTGTCTCCAGGCTGGAGTGCAGCTGTGCAATCTCGGCTCACTGCAACCTCCGCCTCCCGGGTTCAAGTGATTCTCCTGCCTCAGACTCCCGAGTAGTTGGGATTACAGGAACACGTCACCATGCCCAGCTAATTTTTATATTTTTAGTAGAGATGGGGTTTCACCGTGTTGGCCAGGCTGGTCTTGAACTCCTGACCTCAGGTGATCCACCCTCCTTGGGATGGATCAGGCATGAGCCATTGCACCCAGCCGCATTGTTTAGTTTTTGCAGATAATTGTTTAAGGTAGGTATTATTGTTCCCAGATGAGACATGGAGAGTTTAAGTGACTTGTCCAAAGTCACATAGCCTGTAGGTCACAGATCGATGCAGAGCCATCCAAGCCTGGATGCTTTCCAAACTCAGCTTCCTCATCAATGTTCTTTCAAGGGTCCCCTATAGTAGGTTTTTCTTGGAGAAAGCCAGGTAAACAGGCTGGTGCGCCTTCAGCTTGAAGCTGCAGACCCTGGGCACACAGAGCCCTTGCTGAGTAAATGCATATGAAATGGGCTATGGGGATGTGTGGCTTCTAGCACACAGACTTGCCCTTCCGTAGTCTAAACTCAGTCTCATCTTCCCAGTGTCCACCCTTTCTTTACACCAGTGCCAGTTAGTTCTTTGAGAAAATAGTTCAAATCCTATCGATCGTCTTCTCAAAAACATCAAATGGCTTGGAATTAGTGGGTTGGGGCAGTGCTGGTGGAAAGGAACTCCTCAGTGTGCAGTGGAGCCCCTTTATAATGCAGCTTTCATAAACGTGTCTCTTTCACTTTTGCATTCTCACTCCAATCTCTTCACTCTAATTACTCTAAGAGTGCCCTGAGAGTTCCCATTTCTGAGCCGACACCTTCTTTCCCAAAATTATTATTTTTTCTGCTAGTTTCACTTGCTGTTGACATTTGTCTCTTCTTTTGAGCCTCACATCAGATGTCTCTGCCATTTAAAAGCCTTTTTTCTAATCTATCTGGAGTTAGCATGGTGTTCAGGTGTTAAGAAGAGGACAATAAATAGTAAAATGAAGAAGATGGGGAGAAGACTAAGAAGAAAAGACAATGGCTTCATTAATTAGTTTTATTTGGATGCTTTTGCTTGGTTTTATTTTTTTTTTCTCTTATAAGGAATTCTGAGATAGAGAATATAGAATTGGTGCAACAAAACCACGTCGTCCTGGATATTGAAGGATGGAGCCTTCTGTCTAATACACTCATTATGCTCAGTGTGTAGCTTTGGTCTACACAGGAATCCTTTGAACTATGTTAGATCACGTCACTTCTTTGCTGAAAAACCCTCCACAAGCAGATCTTCACTTGCTCAATCACAGGAATCCCCAGTGTTTAATACAGTAAAGTTGGGGTATGTGGGAGCTCTTCTTGGCAGGCAAAGATGTAGAGTCTCACTCGTCGGCAGCCCCTAGCATCCTGCAGTCCCCTGGCCTCCCTCACTCAGCCACTCCAGACACATCTGCCTCCTCAAAGAACCACAACTCTACTAGCAGATATTCTCTCAACTAGCCTAATATCTCATGTTCTTCTCATTTCTCATGGAAGTTCATTCTAATTCCTTATTAGCGTTTTGTTGTGCACCTAGGAAAAACATTAGATGCTTTATGAAAATGGTTTAGGAAGATCCAGAAAACAGCATGTCAATCTTTTGATTGCTCTAAATAATATCATTATTAGCACAGTTGAGGCCATGTTTTCTAATAAAAAATTTAAAGTATGTATCAATGAAAAGCTCAAAGAAGGCTCTGGAATTTTGGCAAGCATTCTGAGTTGCGCTCCTTTTTCTTTACCAACAATGTTTGAACTGAAAATACTTTTTAAATTGTGCAAGCAATTTATTGTTCATATTAATATCTGTTCACATTAATATCTGTTCAATTATTACTTTCATTTTAAATTCTTCATGTTAGAGAAGGATCATTGTTTCATTTATTTTCTCTCCCACTACTCCCCATCTTATAGGTTTAGCCATTCTGACATTAGCTTTTAGAATTCTACTGAACTTGGGAATTTTAAATTGTTCTCTGTAAATATTGGACCATCAGTGCCATGTTACCCTTGTTATGCACCACTAAATATTATTTTTCTTCAAATTATTCAAAGTTCTGGATAAGTGTTCACTTGTCTTGGTTGAGTAATATTACTGGCTTGTGATTTTTTTTTTTTTTTCTGTTCTTGTAATCCCATGGATGTTTTATTGGGTATAAATATTTAAGTGTTGCCAATTATAAAATCTTCATTCATGAAAGTTGATATTAAAGATGTATTGTGAAATATGTAAGAGTAATAACAAAATACTGTGTCTTTAAATTTAGTATATAAAATCCACTTACTTTCTAATCTGAAAGACTTTTCTTGTAAAATTAACAGTAATATGTTTTATATTTAAAAATAGCTAGACAAGAAGATTTGAAATGTTCCTATTACAAAGAAATGATAACTCTTCCAGGTTCCGGAGATCCTAAATACCCTGATTTCCTTATCCCACATCATATGCATGTATCAATATATCACACACACTCCACAAATATATACAATTATTACGTATAAAATAATAAAATTTTATTTTTAATAAAAATTAAAATTAAGATATAATAAATATATGAAAGTATCAGTAGAATCCTAAAAAAATACTACTTTCTCTCATAATCTTCTAATAGAAATTTTTTATTACATACTAACTAATGTCAAAATTAGATTTCTTTTCCTAGAAACCTCCTTATAATCTCACACAGCTGTGATGAACATTTTCCAGAACCATCATTCATCACAATAGCAAAGTTCAAAGTGTTTTTGTCTTTCTTGTTCAATTTAAGTGTAATTTTCTTTATCTTACAATGGAAAGGCCAGCCTTATGAGTAATTCTCTGTAAAGAATGTGTAATATCCTGTAGGCATATAAATTAAATGTAATATCCATTTAATGGAAATCTGCTAATTTTTATTGTTTCAAATTTCCTAAAAATTTAATCAAAACAATCTTAAGAATTCCTATTTAATTTTAACTATTAGTTTTTCTTTTCTTAAAATACTTTTGTGGCCGGGCGCGGTGGCTCACGCCTGTAATCCCAGCACTCTGGGAGGCCGAGACGGGCGGATCACGAAGTCAGGAGATCGCGACCATCCTGGCTAAGAGAGTGAAACCCCGTGTCTACTAAAAATACAAAAAAATTAGCTGGGCGTAGTGGCAGGCACCTGTAGTCCCAGCTACTCTGGAGGGTGAGGCAGGAGAATGGCATGAACCCGGGAGGCAGAGCTTGCAGTGAGCTGAGATTGCGCCCCTGCACTCCAGCCTGGGTGACAGAGCGAGACTCCATCTCAAAAAAAAAAAAAAAAAAAAAAACTTTTGTATCTATTTTTCTCAGTATCCAAACTTTTCTTATTATTACGTATGAATCAAAAATAAAATATAATTATATTAAAATAGTACATATTTGAATATAATCACATTAAAATTTAAATTAAATAGAATAAATCAAAACTTAACATTTAATAATATATTATAATAGACTTACAAAAGATTACTAACATTATAATACAAAGTACAAATTATATCAAATAAAATAAAAATTTATACTTTTAATATATTTTAAAGTTGTGAAGCAATCTAGAACTTACAAAAAACCTGCAAGTACAGTACAAATAATGTTCTTTGGCTTATCTTGATGCTTCATCACTTCAAATCAATTAATGTAATTGCTTACAAAGACTTTCTTCTACATACCCACAATCCAATCATTAAAATCAGGAAATTAACACTGACACATTGCACATTTAATTGACCCCTGTAATCTGCAGACCCTATGTAACTTTTGCCAATCTTGTCAAAAATGTCAAACTTATTAAATGGAATGGTGATTGTGAGGGGATGAGAAAAGTGAGAAACGGGCAGGTGTTCAATGGGTATAAAGTTAGAGGTAGACAAGATGAATAAATTCTAGAGATCTGCTGTGCATCATAGTGCCTATAGTTAACAATATGCTACTGTGAACATAAAATATTGTTAGCAGGGTAGATTTCATGTTAAGTGGCTTTATCTTGTCAATCAATCAATCAGTCAATCAAAGGCTCACTAGGATTCTGACCAATTTGCGTAATTCACATTTGAGGAAAATCAATAAGACCAACCATGTCACTCCCAGCTTTCCACCATCATTGACCAAGATTTCTTTCAATAGTTATTTCTTTGGCTAAGACTATAAATACCAATCTGAAATGAAAATATCTTGTTAATGAAACCACCTGATGGCCAGTCCTAAGTGTCAAGGCAGCAAGCAGGATGCAAAGGCAAAGACCCAGTGAAGAACAATTTTAGAAAATGAAAATGGAGTCCAGGTGCAGTGGCTCATGCCTGTAATCCCAGCATTTGGGAGGCCGAGGCAGGCGGATTACCTGTTGTCAGGAGTTCAAGACTGACCTGACCAATATGGTGAAACCCCGTCTCTCCTAAAAATACAAAAATTAACCAGGCACGGTGGCATGTGCCTGTGATCCCTGCTACTCAGGAGGCTAAGACAGGAGAATCGCTTGAACCCAGGAGCTGGAGGTTGTAGAGAGCTGAAATCGGGCCATTGCACTCCAGCCTGGGCAACAAGAGCGAAACTCTGTCTCAGACAAAAAAAAAAAAAAGAAAGAAAAGAAAGGAAGAAAAAAAAGAAAATAAATGCTTTGGCATGTTTCTGCACAAAGACATGAGATTCAAGGTGTTGAGTGAGTACAGATCCACATTCCTGGGTGTTTTCAGTCTGTACGTGGACAGTAGCCTACTTGCCATATGTAGTCATGGCTAATCCAGCACTAAAAATGACTATTGACGCATTGTGTGTGTTTCTTTCCTCCTTTAGGTAGGTTTATTTCTTCCTTTCCAGATGGGTTTGTAAGTGGAAGTAGGTTAAATTTAGAACCCTGCTCTCATCATCCCACTTCCACTCAACCCTTTTCTGTCGCCCTGTCTTGCCCTCCTTCTTTCATTGTGCTGTCTATTCATTCAAACCCTTTCCGTGCGATCTATGGGGATTCTGAATCACAAAATATAGGAAATACAATGATAATTCTCTTCTATTGTAATACTCCTACATAAAGCCATCTCTGTGCGTGGAGAAATTCATTTCTCGTCCACCAGTAATACTCGTCAGTAAAAGAATGCTGGAGAAATACCCTATTCTGTACCCCAGGCACTGTCACAGATACTGCCCCTCCACAGCCCCTCTCCTGAGCACCACCAAAACCGCAGTATGCAGTCCAGTGCCTGCTACTTCGTAGATTCCAAAAAATATACTTGGTGAATGGATAGTCTGCTGATTGCACACTTCAGTAATATTTATAACCAGTCTTTGAGTCATGATTACTGTCATTCTTTATAGATTTGAGATCAGAAACTCAACAAAGTATAGTAACAAAGACACCAAATTGGAACTCCTGTCTTAGGACTCCAAGTCCAGCACTGTCTCCATTACCCCTTGGTTGCCGCTCTATTGTAGGAAAGTCCTAGTATTTTTTTTAACTCAGTTTAAATAGAGCAAAATGTTTCTATTTTCAAATTTTCCTTCAAATTGGACACTTTAACTTGACAATAGAATGGTTCAAGCTCCCTCTCTCTGAGGGAGGGATCTATAATTTCTCATCAAGGACCTCAGAGATAGATGCCCAGGATGTACCATAAAAATGCACAGGGTGATGGGCAGTATGGATTATCTTGTTGCATCTATGAATGTGAGATTGAAATGTTTGACCTATTAGATTTTCTTCACATTGATGAAATTTTGGATGGCAGCTTCACTTAGAAACTAAATTAACCAAAAACCTCCATCCCGTTCAGGAATAATTTGAACTCTGGATGGACGAGTTGCTTTTCTGCCTAGTCAGACCCCTTTGCCATCAATAAGTGATGGGGGAAGAATCTGCAGCCTCAGCAGTTTTGGAGTCCACGTAAACTAAGCACCAAAGTCTTGTTTTGTTCCTGTGGCAGGGAAAAAATCAGTCATTAATTCGTTACTTTATTTACTAACTTCTTTATTGAACCATCTAATAAATATTAGTGTGATAGAACTCACAGTTTAGAAATGCAGGCACTTACTGCTTCCCAAAATCAACACACATTTCTCAAGAAAGTAGATAGAATGTGGCCTCTAAAAGACTATGTTTAAGGAAGTTTCCACTTCCAAAGAAAACACAATCCAAACTTTCTTTAAATTTGATTATATGGGTGCCATACTCAAAGCTCCAACCTTCTCTCGGTCAAATGTATAGGCATCAAAAGCAAAGTAGAAGCTCCTTAAAAAGTGCCTGCTCATAGGTTTTCCAGCATATGGGGAGATAACTCCACGGCTAAATGTGACTGGGTCACACACCTGAATAGGTACTTCTGTTCCTGCCCCATTGGGAAGCTTCAAGGCTAACCCTACTTTCTGCTTGGGAGGTACCCCCATACTCAAGACAAAGAGGAAAACAATGTGGAGTCCACAGGAAAAGACACATGATTGGATTAATTTGGAATGATATATACTGGGAATTACTCACTTTAATTTTATTTATTATCAAACTATTACATGCTGTAATGAACATGCCAGTTAGAGCTAAAGGCTTATAACACAACAGTTTCAAGACACAGTGCTTTTTCTCTATTTCCACTTCCATCTTGCTCCCAGAGGCAAACTTCTCTACTTTTAGTTTTATTTTGCTTATACTATATTTTTATTTTTATTTCTGCTTCAGTTTATCTCCTACCTCCCACTTTTAGGATCTTAGTTCATTTATACTGCCACTTGCACTTTCCAAATACAATATAAATATGTATCAATGGAGGCAGGGCATGGTGGCTCACACCTGTAATCCCAGCACTTTGGGAGGCCAAGGTGAGCGGATCACCTGAGGTCAGGAGTTCGAGACCAGCCTGGCCAACATGGCGAAACCCCGTCCCTACAAAAATACAAAAAATAGCTGGGTGTGGTGGCAGCACCTGTAATCCCAGCTACTTGAGAAGCTGAGGCAGTAGAATCGCTTGAACCCAGGAGGCGGAGGTTGCAGTGAGCCGAGATTGCACCACTGCACTCCAGCCTGGGCAACAGAGTGAGGAAAAAAATATATCAATGGCCTTATCTACTGTATGCTAATTTCAATATTCTGACTATAAAAATGCCCACTGCTGAGTCAGTGTACAGTTAATAAATTACTCTTGTTCAATTTTGCATTATCCTTGAGAATAATAACTTACTTTTTTGGTTGTATATTTATTTGATATCTGTGTCTTTCTATATCCTTTAAAAATCTTTAAAGTATCTCTCCAATACATTTTCTACACAGTCTAAACTGTCAAATTAAGTTACATTTTTACCTCCAAAGAAACATTTCTAAACCCATGTAAACTATCTAGATGATTGGTCTTGGGATCTGCTTTCCAGTTATGATCTAGGAATTTTTTTCCATATCATGCTGGGACTTAATTTCTTTTGCATCTGTACTGTTGCCTTTCAGTGCCTGTATCTCCATCCCACTGCCACATTCCTTTTTGTTTGTTTATACCATATTTTAAAATCTGCATACTTGATCATATGTTTGGCTTTCAAATTCTAAATTGAGTATATAGTTAGAAGTTTGTCTATGGAAAATGATTAACTAATATGACTGAGAAGAAAGGACAAAAGAGGCAGGAGAAAATATTGAAAGTATCATAGACTAATGAAAATAGTGTTTCACAGCAAAAATGGTGATTATTGCTACCTAGAATTCAATTAAAAGGAGAATTTCAAATTTCTACTAGATTTTGCAAAAACAGATGTCATTGGTACGTCTTAAAAGGAATATTTAACAGAGAGCTAGGATAAAATCTGACTGGGAATGTTCAAGGGGGAAGTGTGCTGTGGTGAGTGGAAATGGGAGTGGAGGATACTCTCTTTGGGAATCTTTGCATAGATGGAGTCGGAGAAAAGAAATAAAAATAGCTAACATGGGGCCAGTAGTTAGAATATATTACAGGCTTGCACATTTGCATGCTGAACTAATAAAGAAGGACAAGAAGAAGAAAAAGAATGATTCAAAAGCGAAGCGATAACTTCAGAAGCCATGCCATTGATCAGATAAGAGGAGATAAAAACCACAGAATAAACAGAGGGTTATCCATAGGTAGAAACAAGACTACATTTTCAGTTTTAAGGTGAGGGCAGTAGAGGTAGATGTGATTTCATATAGGTAGAGGCGAGAGCAAAAACTACTTTAAATAATATCTGACAGTGGGAATTACAAGGAACGGTTTTAAAGCCATCTTAGAAGGAAAGGTCACTTCTCAATCATGATATACTCAGAAAACAGAGGCAGATTCTTTCTAAACCTATTACATATCTTTTATAAAGATGTGTACTAGATGGTGTACTTTTATAAAGATGTGTAATAGCAGAAAAGCTCCTCTTAGCAGAAAGCTAGGAGGCCACTCCTTAAAAGCGTATAACACACAGCAGTTTCAAAAATTATATAAGTTGGGAGCTCAATCACGTAACCAAGAAGAAAAACTTGTGAATCCATCTTCAAATATCTATTAAACACCTACTCTCTCTATGTCCTAATAAATCCTTTCTGAAGTTTATAAAATACAAAAATAAAGTGTTTGCTGGTTTTTTGCTAGGATTGAAGAAAAAGCCTTCCAAAGTAAGCAATGTGAGAATAGCATTTGGGTAATGAGAAGACCACTCAAATAACAGAGGAAAAATCATTCCTGAAACCAGCAAACTGAAAGGCCGTGAGATGAAAATGAGTTTGGAGAATCATAAACTGAAGTCAGGACAGGAAATCAGTTCCTCTTGCATTTTATTTCCAGGTTATTTCATTGGGCCAGGTTCCTGCTGTACTTAACTCCACAGAGGCATTCTTCACATAATCAGAAAGTCCAAGGGGTGTGATATGGTTTCCAAACGTTTAAACAACCATGGCCTGCATTAATAATAGTGTAACTTCCAGACCAAGCACTAGAGCTCCAATGTTATTTTTTATCCTTTGCAAGTCCCATTTATATCATCATCTTATGGCATTAACTAAGAACCCCATGCACAAGGAACAAATTTCCCCTTTCCCCGAGAGGATAATATATGTAGAAAATGACCATGTCACACTTCTCCACACAGCTCTGCTGGACCTCAGCTAGATCCACACTTCTATAAAATTAATAGTCCTTTTTACATTTTCATGATTAGTATTGACCTATCTCTTTATTATTAACCTTTTTTTAAAAAAATATATTCATCTTTATTAATTTTATTCTGCATGCCCAGAGAAGGTATTTTGGATCACAGATGGGTTTCTTACTAAGTACCTTGCAAGAAATAATAAGCACACCATCACCCCTTGCCACCTGGGTCAAGGAGATGAGAAGAAAATGGTGACACCTTCTACAAGCCTGTCTGGACATTCCAAAGGCAGACATGAAGAATAGGTTCTCTCTCTCCTTATATGCAGGAGAGTGACAGCTGACCTCCTGCCTTTCAGCAAGGAAAGCAACAAACTTTTGCTCAACTGAGACATAATAGAAGGGATCCCAGGTTATCACCCTAATGTTTTGGAAGGTAAATCTGTCTCCAACAAGGACCAAGTAAACCCAGGGTTCAGTCTTTTAAATCCTAAAGATGTCTTCTTCGGTCTGCCCTTCACAATGTTTTGAAATGCAAGCAGCTGGAGAGATGGCAGTCTTGTCTTTCTGGGTCTGCAGGGCTTAATTTAGGGGCCTAGTTGGAACTGTAATTTTTTAGCCCTCTGGGATCAGATCAGTTAACTAGGAAAATGACTACAGAGCTTATTCTCATGGGATATGAGGAGTGAAATGCATCAAGGGGAAGTGAAAGCAACATTTTCTATCTTTAACCATAGTCATTTCCATATCTCAGGAGGTTAGGGCTTTTTATAGGAGTACTGAGATATCCAAAGGAGTTTATTTTCGAAGAGGCAACTCAATACCTTCCAAGGCAGTTAGTTTCATGTTTGAAATGCTCTTATGGAAAAATAATGGGAATAGCAGTCATTATAATCAGCATTAGTAATCACTTACTTATGGGAAAGAAATTATACTAAGTTTCATATAGATTTGATTCTCACCACAACCCTATGAGATTGAGACTCCTATTATACAATTTTAGAGAAATATAAACTGTGGTGAAAACTGATTATAAAACTTTCCTGAATATTCACAGCTAGTGTATACTTGTACCCTCTTTACACTGAAGAAATGAAGCTATTCCAAATGGCAACATTCTGTACTCTCTACTAAACTGGTTGTAACACACACCTTCATCCTGCACTGATAACTTTCTTACCATAACTTTCTCTCATCCCCATTTCTAGGACCTCAGTTCTTTAAGACATTTATTCTGTCAAGATTCCCAGATCCTCGATAAACCTTATCACTGTCCTCTAGATGCACTCTTGTTTTTCAAAGTCCTTTTTAAAATGAAGAGCTCTGAATTGGATCCAAGTGCTTTTGTGTTAAGATAAGGAGCTGAATTTTCTTCTTAAAGGTGATTGAGAGGCATTGTAGGGGAGTACAATAAAGCAGATTTGCATTGTTTAAGGTCACATTCACAAGACAATGGAGAATGACCAAGAAGGCATCCAACTAGTGGAAGAAAGGCATGAGTTTGATGGCCATTGAGTCAATGTGGTTTAGAGACGAACTTAAAAGAACATCTTAGCAATGGGAATCTCCTCTTGTATTAAATGAGTTCTGACTTACTTATTCTAATTACTGTAGAACAGTTTTCACCTTTCAATAAATAAAATTAAATTATTGGTACTGTTGATGTCTGGATTTTTCACTGCATTTCAGCAAAGAGGTTTATAATCTCAAACCACAAGAGGGGTTTGTTGAAGGAAATTCCCCAAGACTGTGGGTGATGCCATTTGGGTCTAGAATTTCTAGTATTTTTAAATAACATTCCCTCAACTTATTATTTTTCAGCCCAGATGGTTACCATATTTTATCTGGAAGGGGGAAAAATCTGAAGGCTATAAAAATATTACATTGGGAGAAAAGGGTTTTTCTGGTCTATATAAATTTTGGTCATATTCTTTTTTGAGATATGTTTTGGATACCACATTCTCAACACTGTAGATGTTTCCCAAGCACCTCAATATCCGAGAATATAAAAAAGGGATTCTCATGTTATTTCCTAATGAACATTCATACATACACATTCATGTAGACACATAACATGGAGTAATTTGTATATATAAATTACATGTAAGGAGTCGATGTCTGCTCAGTCTTGCTTCTACATATAAAGACACCAATATATGCCTGTAACATATTGTGGCCTTTATGGAGAATTGGGGGACATCAACCAGGCCTTTCATGTCATCTCCAAAGGAGGAGAGAATTTTAATAGTTACAAGGCAGAGACAAGCCTGGCCACACAGCTTTCAGGTTGAAGAATAAAGCTTAAAGGTTCTTGTTCCATCCAGTTTTGAAAGAATAATCTTTTTGATTTATTAAAATGTTTTATTTCTTTTTAGTTTGGAATCACTGTCTTTTGAAACTGTAAGACTAATGCAATAAGATATTCTTAAGCTAGCCATCACTTTTCAGGAAATTCTGTATACCAAGGTGGAGCGAAGATAGAGTAAGGATGGAGCCAGGTTGGGGCAACTTAAAAGTTTTTTCCACTGTAGGTAGAAGGAGGGCTTCTGCCTCCTATATGGTCCAGCCCCAGCAAAATAGACTATACTTCATGCAATGTCTTTCTTATGTGATAAACGGCATGTTTTGCCTAGCGTGTCCCTCAGGAAGTTTCAGTCACTTGGGATTTGAGGATTTGCCCATCTTCACTTTTCTCCCTTTGCCTATTTTTTTTCTCACACTTCTTATTCGATCAACCAACCTCTTCCCCTGCCTTAGACACAATGCACATACCTCTGATAGGACTCAGGTAATATAGAAGAGCCATTGCCTATAGAATCTGGAACCATGACATTGGTCTAAATTCTCCTTAGTGAAGCAACTAAATCAGGACAACATATTGGACAGTTAGGGCACACATTTGCAAGACCTTTCACAAACTTAAAATATGTGGGAGAAATAGCTAAATCACAGACTAGTAAAATGTTATTATCCTTTTTTTTCTAAAGAAAACACCCCTAGACATTTTCTGTAATACCCACAAACTTAATTACAAAAATGCCTATAAAAGTAGAATTACATTTTGCAGGACTTGACAGGTCTTGAATGAGATACTTAATAATCAAGAAAAAATGAAGTTGTATAAGTAGACTGTCAAGGAAAGCAAGCAATGTAATTCTGACATTCTGGAGAGTTTAAAAGAACAAAAGTTTATAATACAATTGTTTCTTGTTAAGATGTTTGCTTAAAAAAAATACTATGTGATTGCTAAAAAAATAAAATAAAATACATTTGAAGAAAAAATGGTTTGGAAATCCAACTCTGATGAGTATTAGGCTATGACATTGGATAATTCCTCTAAATATACCGATTTCCTTTTAGTAGAATATAGATAATTTTTACTTATATCAGTTACAGCAATGAAACATAATATTCATATATATGCATATAAATTATGTGAAAATATCAACCTGTTATAAATGATTATTAAACGTAAGTGAATTTAAAAGACCAAATTCCCATGTCTCTTTAATGTTAATACAATGATGTTATTTTCTATTTGACAGTAAGCCTCAATAACCTTTAAAGGCAGCTTTGACCATGGTAAAATAACTCCATTATTACCTACAAAATATGTTTGACATGTTGTGAAGTCACTCATAACTTATGACACTCATGTGACTCTATGAAATAAAAGAGGAAGCTTTCATTGTGATTTTGTTGAGGAGCAAAACAAATTTGGACCACGTTTTCATTTTGATATAAGTTTAAATTAATATATAATTTCCCACTTGAGAAATACTGTTATAAACTTATAGAAGGGATTGTGGGTAATATGAACATTATTGGAATACAAATGTTGGTATATTGCTTACTTTCCCTGCCTCATTTCTTTCCCCAGGCCTCAGTAAGAATGTAGCTATTTGGTATTCATAAGAAATTCATAGGGAAATAAGTTTTGAACCATTTAAAAAGATTCTATAAGAAACTACCTTTAAAGGTACTATTTTATTTTTTAAATTGATAGGTGAAATTGTATGTATTTATCGTGTACAACATGAAGTTTTGAAGTATATACACATTATACAATTAATAAATCTAGCAAATTAACATGTCTATTACCTCACATAGTTAACATTTTGTGATGAGAATTGTTACCATTCACTTCTTAGCATTTTTCAAGATTGCAATATATGGTTATTAACTATAGTCACCATGATATATAATAGACTTCTTGAACTTATTTCTCCTATTTAACTGATATTTTGTATCCTTTGACCAACATCTCTTTCAAGTACCCCAGCTCCTAGTAACCACTATTCTGCTTTCTGTTCAAGGAGATTAACGTTTTTACTTTTTTAGATTACATCTATGAATGACATCATGCAGTGTTTTGTCTTTCTGAGCCTAGCTTTTTTCACTTAACGTCCTCCAGATTCATCCAGGTTGTGGGATATTAAAAGATTTTCTTTCTTTCTATGGCTGAATAGTATTGCATTGTGTATACATACCACATTGTCTTTTCTTTGTCCATTTATCTGTTGAGAGACACTTAGGTTGTTTCTATCTCTTGACTATTGTGAATAATGCTGAAATACACAAGCGAATGCAGATATCGCTTTGATATACTGATTTTATTTCTTTTGAGTATCATCTAGTAGTGGAATTGCTGGATCATATGATAGTTCTGTTTTATTTTTGAGGAGCTCTCATGCTGTTTCTCATAATGTCTGTACTAATTTATATTCCCACCAACAACAATGGGCAAGGGTTCCCTTTTTTACACATCCTCGACAACACTTGCTATATTTTGTCTATTTGATAATAACCATTTTAACATGTGTGAGGTGAAATCTCACTTTGGTTTTAATTTGCATTTTCTGATGATTAGTGATGTTGAGCACTTTTTCATATACCTGTTGGCCATTTGTATGTTATTTTTAAGGAAATGTTTATGCAAGTCCTTTGCCAGTTTTTCAATCTGTTTGTTTTCTTGCTTTTCAGTTGCTTGAGTTTCTTATATATTTTGGATATTAATCTCTGATCAGATGTATAATTTGCAAATATTTTCTCTCAGTCTGTAGGTTGTCTCTTCACTTTGTTGACTGTTTTCTTTACTGTACAAAAGCTTTTAGTTTGATAAAATCTCATTTGTCTATTTTTCTTTTGTTGCCTGTGATTTTGGGGTTATAGCCAAAAAATTATTGCCCAGATCAATGTCATGAAGTTTTTTTCCCTATATTTTCTTCTAGTAGCATCATAGTTTTGGGTCTATGAAAGTATTAATCTATTACTATTAAGTATTTAATCAATTTTGAGTTGATTTTTGCATGTGGTGTGAGATAAAGGTCTAATTTTATTCTTCTGCATGGTAATATCTAGTTTTCCCAACACCATTTATTGAATAGACTGTCCTTTTCCCATTGTGTGTTCTTGGCATCTTTGTTGAAAATCAGTTGACTATAAATGTGTGAATTTACTTCTGCACTCCCTTTTCTGTTCCACTGGTCTATGTGTCTGTTTTAATGCTAGTACCATGCTGTTTTGGTTACCATAGATTTGTAAGATATTTTGAAGTCAGGAAATGTGATGCCTCCAGCTTTGTCCTTTTTGCTCCACATTGCTTTGGCTATTCAAAAAATTTTTTGGTAGTTCTGTGTGAATTTTAGGATTGTTTTTCCTACTCCTGTGAAGAATATCATTGGTCTTTTGGTAAGGATTACATTGATTTGCAGATTGCTTTGGGTAGTATGAATAACAATATTAATTTTATTAGTAATATATTAATATGGATTGTAATAATAATATTCATTAATATAGATATTAATATGGTTATTAATAATATCTATACACATGGGAGATTTCTCCATTTATTTGAATCTTATTCAATTTCTTAATCTTTTATAGATTTCAGTGTAGAGATATTTCATCTCCTTGGTTAAATTTATTCCAAAGTATTTTATTTATTGTCGTACTACAAATGGGACTGTTTTATTTCTTTTTTAGATAGTTTGCTCTTTGATATGGTTAGGCTTTGTGTCCCCACTCAAATCTCATCTTGAATTATAATCCCCATAATCCCCACATGTCAAGGCAGAGACCAGGTGGAGGTAACTGACTCATGGGGGTGGTTTCCCAATACTGTTCTCATGATAGCGAGTAACTTCTCACTACATCTGATGGTTTTATAAAGGGCTCTTCCCCCTTTTCCTGGCAGCACTTCTCCTATCTACTGCCTTGTGAAGAAGATGCCTTGCTTCCCCTTCACCTTCTGCCATGATTGTAAGTTTCCTGAGGCCTCCCCAGTCATGCTGAACTGTGAGTCAATTAAACCTCTTTCCTTTATAAATTACCCAGTCTCGGGTATTTCCTTACAGTAATGTGAGAACAAACTAATACACTCTTAGTGATTATATGACTAATATCACTGATATCAGAAATGATAGTGATTTTCATATGTTGATTTTGTACCCTACAACTTTACTGAAATTATTTTTAGTTCTAACGGGATTTTTTTTTTTTTTGGTGACATCTTTAGGGTTTCCTATGTATAAGATCATGTCATCTGAAAATGTTCAATGTAACTTTTTCCTTTCTAATTGTAATGCTTTTCTTTCTCTTGCCCAATTGCTCTGGCTAGAACTTCCAGTACTATGTTGGATTAAAGGGCAAAACTGAGCACCCTTTTCTTGTTTCAGTTTTTACAGGAAAAGCTTTCAACTTTTTTCTGTTGAGTATGATGTTAGCTATAGATTTGTTAAATATGACCTTTCTGTGTCCAGGTACATTTAAACCATGTAATATACTTCCTTAAACCTTGACATCTAGTTATAGCAAACCTTCCTCATTTATCCTCTTTCTTTTTAAATATAATTCAGTATTTTTTAACTTAGACATAAAAAAAGCCTTAAGAAAGTAATGGATCCGCTTTTTAGCTGTTGATTATAATTACACCACTGTAAATGCTATGCAATGCTCTGAATCCATCTGGGTCTGTGTGCATTTCTAGAACAGTGAGGCATCCATCAAAACAGCCTTTTCCTTTGTGTGTTTCTATGGGTTGAGAACATTTAATAAACCCAGTCTCTGTCAACAAGCAGCAACAATTTGAAATTATAGTTTACTCACATAAACAAAAAGCTAATGCAAGAGGACATTGAGGTTTCCAAATAGGTATTCTTAGAGTAGTTTATCTTTTATAAAATTGACTAAAAGTAATCTAATTCTGTCATTTTTTCTAAATTTATTAGATACCATTGAGTTATAAAGCTATTACCTGGCAAGGGAATTTTGTCTCAGACTAAAATATTGTCAAAGTAATACCAAGTTGAAATAGGATTTACATTGAAATTATCCATATGGAGGCTACAAGGTTGGTTTCTAAAGAAATGATTAACAACATACCCTATCGCTTTAGAAATAGACTTAAGAATATACCCTTGTTCCCAACATTTGCAGATGTAATATTCGACACCACCTTTATATGTATAAACTTTAATAAATGTCTGTGATTTATTTCACTCATTCACTTATTTATTAAGTCGTAATTGAAAGTCTTTTTACCAGTGCAATGCTGCTAAGAACATAAAAGTACGACGATACAATTCGGGCCCTCACGGGAGTTGTGGAACATTTGTAAAGACAAATTTTTTAAAGACTGGTATAAGAAAGGGAAATACTGCTATGGTAAATATAAAGTCTTCTTCCTTTCAGCCAACAATTTAAAATAAATTTTAGGTCAATATAAAGGGGACTTTCTCTGAAGGGTCAGGGAAATCTTCTTACGGAAGGTGGTACATGAACTATGCCTTAAAGATAACTGATGAAAGGGAGAGGGCAAAGTCCTTATTTGGATAAGAAATTCCACCTCCTCTACAAGTACTTTAATTTCAGGGAATTAGCACAATAAAGGTTTATATCTTGCCCACTTCACCTCATACACTCCACTTCACCCACAGGTGAGCTGGAGAGGGTGGGACTATGGTTTGGCTTTATGCAGTAACCCAGATGTGGGGCACCTTCCTGCCACTGACTTGCCCCTGGAGTTCTCAGCCTGTTCTTCTGGATCTTGCCTATTGATAAGTGGTTTTAGAGACTGGATCTGGAAGCCGCAGCACTCACGTCTGTTCACATAAAATGCTCCAAACTTCATCCTGTGGCATGTCTAGAAATAGAAGCCTAGGAATTGTAGTTTGGTATTAGGCCAAGGAAAAGTAGGGGTATGAGTTATTGATAAGTAGAGACAGTGCCTCCAGAGTGGATAAGGGGGATTCAAGGAGAGGGAACAGGACTTCTAAAATACAGAGAGGAGAGCAGTGCATGTTGAAAAGGAGTGAGGAAGGGGTGCAGGGAGCCCAGACTCAGAACACCAACCACATTTATGTTGGCTTTGTTGGTAAGCTTAGATTTTATTATGCAGCACTGAGAGCCTACTATCAAATTTTAAATGGAGGAATATGAGATGATATTTGCATTTATTGAAGGGAAATCTGATGATTACATGGAGGGTGGATTGGAAAAGAATAAAAGGAAGTGGCTTGTGATAGGCATAGAGAAATATAAATAAGGAATATGGAATTCTTGCCTCATTGGGTCTCAATGTATATGGAAGACTTGCACTTGTACAGAACTGTGAGTTTTCAAAGCATGACTTCACTGATCACTTTTTATCTTCATGGCAAGAATGTGAGATGAAAAGGGTGTATGTTCTTCTTTTCACTGAGGAATAGGTTCAGTTTAAGTGGAAGTGATAATATTTTGCCTTAAACAACTCATCTAAGAGAGGACAGAAAAGATATTAAACCCAAGCCTTCTTCCTTATAGCCACCAACTTAAAACACATTTTAGAAAAGAAATCTTTCAGGAATCTGACAGCCATTTCATGCTAAGCACAGTCATATCACGTCTGTGCCCCACTAACCTTTGAGGTTTTGGGGAGAAAGTCTGGGAGTCCATCTAAGGGCCCATAAAGCTAATTATTTCTGAGAAAATCAAAGCCTTCTCTAGAACAGCTCAGTGGCATTTTTGTGAGAATTTTCAAATTCTTAATTTTC
Source organism: Homo sapiens (assembly GCF_000001405.40). NCBI lineage: Eukaryota > Metazoa > Chordata > Mammalia > Primates > Hominidae > Homo > Homo sapiens. The sequence goes on from NC_000008.11 coordinate 137,644,319, forward strand.
CATCAGTGTTATCACTTATCAAACAGTGAAACCCAAATTGTCCTTGGGCATGTTGGTCACAAATAAAACATAAAATAAACATAACAGCCACAGTCAGATGCATGTTAATAAATTTTAGATTTTATTGGCCAGAGAAGTAAAATCGTAGATAGATTTAATCAAGTTAACAACATCAAAAAATGCATATCTGAGCCTACTAGAAAAGCATAAGAATATTTTGTTTTCTGTGTTCTTCAAGGCATCTGGACAACAGGATTGTGATAGTTCTATGTGCTTTTAAGTAAACCTCCCTAATTCTTGAGGAGGAGAAAAAGGTGAAATTCCTTGGAGCATATAGGGTACAAACATTGGGAATTTTTGCCAATAATTGTTCTTCTGAGACAAACACAGACAAAATGGTGAATATAAAAACACTGAAAGTGCTTTCTTTAAACAGAAGACTGAGACAAGAAGATAGATACCACCACTATTTATTAATGGACTAGAAAAATTGATTAATGCAATTTGAAAAGGAAAATAGATGAAGGATAGGTAAAGATAATTAGTAAAACTATCACATTTTGAGGGTGATATAATAATATCACTTTAAAACTCGAGAACAAACTAGAAAGCCATTTAAAACAATACAAATATTCAGTAAGATAGTAGAGTATAAAATTAGTTCTGAGAAATCTATAGCCTTCACATGTACACGCTGTAGTAGAAACAATAGAGATTAGAGAAAACACTTCACTTATAATAGTAAAAAAAAAAAAAGATTTAAACAACCCAATGGAAATAATAAATGTTTAAAGAGACCATGGGGGAAACTAGAAAACAGTACGCACGAACACAAAAGAAATCCCGAAGGTATGGGTAGACTTAGCTAAGAATAAATGCCTGAAAGAGTCCTGTGTTCTTTGTGGCAATCATGAGAGTATACACTCAAACTTTCCTTGCAGAAAGATTGTGCCAGTCACCTTCGGGAAGCAGTAAGCTAATATCCTCTAGCTCAGCAAGCTCGGGATCCACTACAGTGTTGGAGCTATCCCACACTCTTCCCAGGCAGTCCACAGATAATGACTGAAGAAGGTGGCAGTGACTGAATTATCTACTACCATGTCATAAATTATCCCCACATGCAGCAGGTCGAAAGAAGAATGAATTATTTTTCCTGTGTGTGTATGAAATTTGAGTGTGGCTTACCTCGGTCGTCTGATTCAGAGTCTCTTCAGGCTGCCGTCAACATGTTGCTCTCGCTGCTATCATCGGGTGGTTGATGAGTCTGGAGGTTCTGCTGCCAGAATGCCTCACCCACTTTGCTGTTGGAAGAAGCTCCAGATCCTGGCAACCTGGAGCTCCGTCGGGACTGCTTGAGTGTTTCACAACATGGCAGCTGGCTTTTCCCTCTGTAGGTCACCTCTGCTCCATAAGCTCCCATTAGGCAGGCTAAGACGCTCGCAGTTGCACCGCAGGCTGAGGCTCTTCTACTCAATTCTCTTTCCATCTCTACTATGGGCTGAAGCTCTCGCTGCCCCCGCTTGCCCAGTCTTTCACAGTCAGAAGTCTCCAAACATTGTCACACATTCTTACTTTATCTTGGATTCTGCTTCCTAGAGGACTAAACACACTCAATAATTTAATTTATAAAAGCCCCATGATCACAATAAAAATCATACATGTTTCCTTTGAAATTCATATATATGTGAAATAAAAAACAGTAATATGAATAAAAATTTGAAATTTATATACATTTATATTTACATACAAGGGTTGTTGGATTTATATAAATACAGAATATAATAATCAGGGAAAGTCTGTTTAAGAACTACAGCAGAAAACCATTCTGAACAGGTCATAAGGCATATTATATTATAATGCTTCAAAACAATTAAAACTAGAAATAATAAGATAAAAAAACAAAACATAAAATCTAGAAATATTTTGAAATCAATATGGAGTTTTAATATATGACAAATGTAACTTCTAAAGTTGAAGTGGGAATGTTAAAAGTTTAAATGTTTAAAATGTTAAAAGTTTTTTAACAATTGGGTTTGAACAACTGAAGAGTTACATTGATGAAACTTAGCAGGATACACCAGTAAAATTTCAAATAGATAAAAATTTCACCGTAAAATATGAAGTCATATAAGCATGAAAATAAAACAAGATTAATTCCCTTATAAACCTGAGGTAAAGAAGATCTTTCTTAAACTAATTCAAAATACAGAAGTTGTTAAATTGATACATTTAATTCTTTTGATATAAAAACAGTAAATACAAATGAAAAAAAAAATCACCGTAAATAATGTCAGATGAAAAGAGAAAAAACTGATACAAAATATTTTCAACTTCAGGATGACCTGAAGTTCAACAACTGAGTTTATCACCTTGATTTCTAAGAACTGGAAAACAATTTTAAAAATCCAAAGCAGGATAAAAACAAACATCTATATACACACTTACGCACAAATTACAAATTGCCAGTACACACACGAATCTATATTCACCTTTCTCTAGAAGAGAGAAAAGCAACTTAAAAATACACTGAGATACCCTTTCTCCATTATCAGATTTTTGGTGGCAACACTGAAGAAGCAAGAACTTTGCCACCTAGTTGGTTAGAATGCAAAACGGTGTAAGCCCATGGAGGGCAGGTTTACAATACCTGTCAAAAATTTATTTTTCATTTGTCCCCACAATCCCATTTCTGTTGCCTTATCCTACATAGTCACCTGTGTGTGTATGTGTACAGGTGTGTTCATTGTAGCATTGCTCATAATCACAAAATATTACCATCCACCCAAATGTCCCTCTACACTCAGTCAATTCTTACTGTGCCTCTGTTATAAACCAACTGTAAATACAATATAAAATCAAAAACAAGGCATTCCTGTATGTACTATTATAGAAAGCATTACAAGAGACTGTCCGGGCATGGTGGCTCAAGCCTGTAATCCCAGCACTTTGGGAGGCCAAGCTAGGTGGATCACCTGAGGCCAGGAGTTCGAGACCAGTCTGGCCAACATGGCGAAACTCCATCTCTACTAAAAATACAAAAAATGAGCTGGGCGTGGTGGTGGGCACATGTAATCCCAGCCACTTTGGAGGCTGAGGCAGGAGAGTCACTTGAACCCGGGAGGTGGAGGCTGCAGTGAGTCAAGGTTGCACCATTGCACTCTAGCCTGGGCAACAAGAGTGAAACTCTGTCTCGAAAGAAAAAAAAAAAAAGAAAGTATTACAAGATACGTCAAGTGAAAGCAGCAAGGTTTAGTACAGTATATATAAATTACTACCTTTGGGGTAAAAATGAAGGGTGATAAGAACATGTACTCATATTTGCTTATGTTTTTATGAAAGGACAATGCAAGAACACACACAGAGAAACAAATAAACATGGGGACTTTCACAGGAGAGGAAAGACACTGCATTGCTAGGGAGAAAAGCAGAAACAGACTATTGATTCTGCCTGTACCTTCCTTACATCGTTTTGGGTCCTTAATCATATAAATGCACTCTTCCTCTAAACAAGCAAGCTAAGTGCAAGAGGGAATTGTTCCTCTTCATCCTGCTTTCAGATCATATCCATATATCTACACACCCATTACACAGATACTTATCATGCTCTTAGCTCCCTACACAGTGCAAGATGCCATAGAATATATCTATGATGAAGACATGCACAGGTGTTATGAAATATCTCTGTTTTGTAAAACTAATGGCGTTTGCCAGTTCTGATACTTGACTTTGATTTACAGCATGCTGAATATTGATATGGGTCTTTAGGCCTTTGCTAGGAGTCTCATCAGACCAAAGGAAGGCAACAAGAGGAATATATGCACCAATCCTGCTTCTATGGTACATTACACTTAGCAACACAAAACTGGAACTTTTCTAAACATGAGAGAGGGAAACCATTCAACAGTGCACCATCAAAGGAGCTAAGGGCACGTGGGTGAAGGAGGGATGTGAAAAGGTGCACAGAGGATGTGATGTCAGAAGGGAGCGTGTCCTTAAAGGGATAGATGCCATTAAACCAGGAAGAAAGGTTACCGGGTGTGTTCTGGGCAGAGACCTGTGTACATAAACATACCCAGGCTTCAAAATTTACCTTAGTTAATGGAGCTCTACAAGATTTTACTGGTTTTAAGCCTGAAAAACATAAAGAGAGGTGATGCCCATTTCTAATGAAGACATTTGCCCAATGAGGTGAAGAAGTTTAGAATTACAGGAACTGGGAAATTGAATGAAAATATTAACCAGGGAAAGAATAGAATTGTATTGGAGTTTTAGAAAGAGATATTGGAAAAGAAAAAAAAAAATAACTCAGACTAAGGAAGGAAATTTAGTAAAAGTTTACCAGCACTCAAATATACGTAGCTTCAAAAATAGGAAACTGAGTGAGCTATTTCTGTGTTCTAAGACAGGAAAACCAGAATGTATAAATGCAGCATTGTCAGCTGGCATTCTTCCAGGAGGCCTTGCTGAGGCTTTGGTCAATCCACAGCGACTGAGTCCTTCATTGACCTTCCCCTGTGCTACCTCGTGGCCATCCTCTAAAAGTCACTTCATTGTCTTCCAACTGCATCTCCCCGGCCTTAATCAGGAGCAAGGCAGCAATTTTAAGAAAATAGAAAACGCTTTCATGTCTAACTTCATGCCTGTGTGAACTTCTTAGAATGCTTTTAGTGGAGAATTCCATTTGACTGAAAGAGAAAAGATGAGAGGCTATGAAATGCGGGGTTAGGATAAGTAAATTGAAGCTATTATATTTCCTATTCCCTTAGTATCATCTTAGCATTAATAGATCCTTGACCTTGAAAATTGGGGGTCTTGTTACTTTTTTTATGCTCATTACTATTGTTGATGCTTCTCCATCAGTCAAATTTATTTGGGAAGGAAACTTGAAAAAGCTTTCTAATCAGCTTTCACAGCAATGTTTTTATATATGTTAATTCATTTTTTCCGTGTCCTTTGTTGCTAAGATTTGTATTTTTGGTTTAAAGTGGAAAATCACCATGCATTGCAGAGCTACTTTTCCTCAATACCAACACTTACCAGCTGTGGTCTAGCATTTTTTTAAAAAACTATTTTCCAGTCTGGCTTATCTACATTTTCTGGAGCCAAATATTTACAGTTTCTCATTGGCATACATATCTTAAAATTTATTTTGTATCTTATCTGTTGACTACTGGATAATATTTTAAAACTTATTTTGTTGTTTTCTAACTGTAAATGTAATTTTAAAAACTAGAGATTCGGAAAATAGTGATTTAGAAATATAATGATGGAAGAAAGAAGGAAAGGAAAGAGGAGATGGAAAGAAGGAGGAAGGGAGAAAAGAAAAAAGAAAAAAAAAGTGCTAACTGAAGAACGATGGGATTCATTAATTTGGAAAGGAGGCTTTTATTTGTCATAAAGGGTTGCATCCTTCAGAGTGGCCATTCTGACAGTCTGGGAAGCACAGCCTCTGGCCAGAAGCCAGAAACAGACATTTTGAAGGAGGGGCAAAAAGAACAGGGATTTATGCTGAGCAGGGTGGCCAAATATACATCTTTAGTAAGCTATAGGAACAGTCATGAATATTTACAACAGGAGAAACATGCATGTGTGCAATTGAGCTTCATGCACTTTAATGAGACCCATGTTTTAAAAAGCCAGTGTTAGCATCAGCATAATCCAAGGATGGAGTTTTCGGTCCTCTGACTTCAACAGATGAAGCAGATGACACAAAAACCCTTAATGCACATTCTTCATAGACTGGCCAGAACCAATCCATGGTCCATGGCATTTTATCAGGTCAAAAAGGAGAAGAAGCATCAGGCCCTTGGTTGATAATTATATCAGTGGTAGAGTCTTTTGGAAGGGCTGGTTTCCATTAAGCCCTCAGGGAAGGAAGGCCAATCATGGTTAAACAGGGAGGAGCTATACAGAGGTGTGTCTGATCCCCCATCCTGTCCTGGCTGAGGACTCAGTTTTAAGGTTATGCTGCTGTCCACTTGGCCAAGACTGGTCTGTTCGGTCAGTTGAAGTGCTTAGAATTTTATTTTTAGGTTACAAAAGGAAGAAAATAAGGAAGAAAAAGAAATAATTAACCTTACTCTCACAGGGATGAAATTACTAGTAACATATTAGTGGACATGCTCACAACATTTGTGAGGCTGTTACCTTAGGTGCACATGGAAGCCCATATAACATATATTTAAATATCTAAGTCATACATCAAACAAACCTACTGACAATAAATGTATATATGCTTTTCTTTCTACCTTAAAAAATATATCTAAACAATGACCACAAGTTCAAGTTCAAATATTGAAATGCCAGGTCCTAGAAGTTTCTCACCTCAGCATAGCAGCATGGAGGGGGCCTTGACCTCCTCTGGTCTCAGCACTGACCTATTCCACAAGGGGCCCCATGGAAGCCTTTGCCCATTCCACTTAATCCAGCCAGCAAATTCAAGTCCTGATCAGAGCTTCCAAAATAGCTACGTCTAGGTCACTTTCTAGTGATGTGATTCACACTTGAAAAGACAAATTTGGGAAAGAGGCTAGAACCCCTGAAGCAGGAACTTCTGGAGTCCTGGGTAACTAAGGCATTATAAAGAAGGGAGGATAAGGGGGGCTCCAGGTAGGTACATCTCCTTGGCCTCACAGACACTTATGGGTACAGAGGTAAGGTTTGAAGAAAGCCCAGGATGGGGTTTCTTTTCCAAGAGTCTGATGCCTGCTAGTATTGCATGCTGGTATACTGTTTCAGGTTTTCTAAGCATACTTTATTACATACTTTTGAGCATATTACGTGTACAACCTGCATGTTGCTTTATTCAAAATCATTTCTGATAGCATTACCTATTACGGTAAGCATTTATATGGCTGCAAGGATGCAAAGACAACCCTGATGTGTAATAATTTAATTCCCCCAAATCATCTTGTAGAAGACTTCAATTATACACATAATTTTTTTCTGGTATACATAGTGCCAATAAAGTATATATAGGATGCAAACTTTTTCCCCCATTAAAAATATGTATTTAACAGATTTCTAGTCATTAACTTCAAGAATGTGTGGAAAGTAGAAAAGTTGAAATTGTGAAGATTTTGACAATTCTGTCAAGAAGCATGGCTACGAGGGAGCAGGAAAGTACTTGGTGTTATTAGGAGAGAAACTTGGGGTAGAAGTAGGCATTTGGGGTATATGTGTGTGTGTGAGAGAGAGAGAGAGAGATTGGTTATATGATAGTAATGAAAAGACACCACTCACCACTAAAGTTGAAACCCCTCTAGGTGTGGGGACCACGGAAGAGGCAATGTGAAGTCACGGAGAAGGTAAAATGTGATCTGATCCAAGAAAGAATAAAATGATAGGGAGGAGAAGCCCTTAATCACTCCACCATTCCAAAAGTGGATGAGGAAATGCAACAGGACCTGAGTTCTGACACATTTGGATATTTGGTCTCAGTTAGTCGAAGCAGAGTCCCAAGCACGGACCCAATTCTCAGTAAGACGTTACATGGTCATTGAACTGTAGTTTTATTTTCTCTGTGAATTGCAGCTGACGTCATCAGCTGAGACTGGGTTGGAGCAGCAGAGAGATGAGAGGTCTGAATATGAGTGAGAATTATTTTCAAATACATTGTAGAGAATAGGATAAAATGCTAGTTAAGGACTTTCTTCTGGGTTATCTGGACAAGATCAGGATTTTATTCCGTGTTGGCCAAGGTTTGGAGTAGCACGGAGGGCAGACAGGTGTGAATTTTTTTCGGTACAACTCAGTATTCTGAAAGTAGCCAGGGATCCTGGAGATAGATGGCATAATACAAGTTGATGTTGTCCCAGTTGGTGAAGAAAAGCAAAACAAAACAACACTGAAATAAGGAGTTTAGAGAATGGCCAAAGGAAGTTACAGTTATGGACCATAAATGCTAAGCTAAAAGCAAGTGAAGACAAAGCATTTTATAAATAGATAAAAAGGATTAGGAATGAGTAAAGAACTGAGGACTTTTAAACAAGCTTTTGTATTGATGCTCTGAAAGAAAAATCTCATCCTAGTCATGTTTCTTTCTCTCATTGCTGGTCTCTCAATATTTTTCAGTCTCATGAGATTCCCTATCTCCCTCCAGACTCTATTGTGTCTATATTATAAAATCCTCTATTTTATAAAATCCTCTTGTGATCACTGTCTAGGCTAAAATTGTGTTCTTTCTCAAAGATTCTGTGTCACCTGCCACCTTAAAAAGTGGATACTAGCCATTCTTCTATTGCCTATAAATCACTTACTCAAGAAAGATGACATGAGATTTTTGTTCTCATACAATAGCAAAGGCCAAGGTGTTTGCTTTACTTGTAATTTTCCACAGACAAAGGCACTATTTAAAGAATAATGTTGGTGCAATTAAAAACCTATACTAGAAATGAGCTGATCCATCTCTATTAACTCCCCATCCCATGAGAATCACATCATCTGGGTAATTATTAAACCATGAATGTGAATTTAGTTAATGTCCTCATCCTCCACATAGTATCTTATATGAAATCACTTCTTGGTCCTTGAAAGTGGTTTTTAAGCAAACTTTGAACCTTGCAGTGTGGGGATGGCTTAAATATCAGTAAATCTCAGGCATGTTTTTATGCATTATTGATTTTCTATTGTCATTTACTACTTCATTATGTTTGGGGAGTTTATTATTTATAATCCCAGCTAAGCAACTCAACAAAGTTGCCACAAATCAAGCCGATGCCTCTCCAACTAGCTGTCACAATTCTTTATGACCAGCCTGGGAATTTACATGATTATATCACCTTCCTAACTTAATTTCAAAGTACACTACAGATAAACTACCCAGTAATGTAAGAGGTGCTTAGCACTTCTCATTGAATATAAGCCTCCAGGCATTACAGTAATGCATTATGAAACTACAGGGTGCCAAGATTCTGTTCTCTAAGTGGTGAGTCCATAAAAGCCTCAGATTGTTTCAAGCTACGTATCTTAGAAGAGGGGACACATTTGTCTTATCTAGAAAAATGTCTTGGCATTGTTCTAAAGCACTCAATTTAGAGTCCAGAAAATTTAAAAGTTCTGGTGAAATTAAACATAAAGAATACATGACCCAGGAAGAAAATAATAAACATTCTAGGATTTATGAAGGTTTAACATTTTAAAAAGTGTATAATTATTATTTTGTATTTCAGAAAAGGCACCAAAACCATTAGATGCAAGTTTCAGAACATGACATTTCTAATCAGCATGAGAAAGGGAGTTTCTAGTTAAATAGAAATGCAAAATTAGTGACCTTTTTTTAAGCAAGTTTTTGGGTTGCTCCAAAAATGCTTATTCTTAGAATAGATCATGAACATTCACCCTTTAATACCTGTAAACTCAGTAGAGAAAGATGTCTAATTTTTGTGCTTGTTGCTGTTTTTGTTGTTATTTCATTTATTAATATTGAATAGAATGGATATGAGAATTGGAAGGAGATACTGAAAACTGAGAGGACTTGTGATTATAAAAATGTGACTAAATAGTAATTAAGAGACTTTTATGACTCTTTATTCTATATAACCTTAGTAACATAGAAGATTAAAAAATGTGTCCATCAGGATTCATCCACAGAAGCAGAACTACTTTATACATTTGTGCATGTGTGTTTGTGTGTGTGCATGAGAGAGAGAGAGGAGGGAAAGAGAGACACCCCACAGTCTGCCCTCTGTGCTGTTCTGAACCTTTGTAAAAATATAACAGATATTACATTTTTACCAATGTCCAGATAAACTGGAAGAGATTCCTTAGCTAGGTTTTCTCCTATTCTCAACTATACATATATATATATATTTTTCCACCATTCTTCACTCCGCTCATCTCTCTCTGTTCCATACCAATCTCAGCTGATGACTTACTCTCCAGTTCACAGGGAAAGTGAAACTATAGTTCAATGACTACATAACTTATCATTGAGAGTTTTGTCAGTGCTGAGGACTCTGTTTTAACTTCCTGAGATTGAATATCAAATGCATCAGGAATCTGCGATAGATATAAAGATAAATTTGTCAAAAGAATTTTGACTTACACAATTGTTGAGTTGCTTGGGCAGTCTCTGTAAGCTGACTTTCTGCAGATGATGCTAGAGCTTGGAGACAACTGGACATATTGTCAGGAAGGGAATGTAGATGTAAAGTGGGAGAGAGCTAAAGCAGGGTGGAATCTGCAGGCATGAGCTGGAAACCCGTGGAGATGGAGTGAAACCCGTGGAGATGGAGTGAAACCCATATCACTTACTTATGCCTCTACCCTGGGTTACACATGTACCCTGCAGGATTGAGACCCCTTCGTTGAACACCTAACACACATACTCTTGACCCAAGAGTTGGAGAAGCAGAAGGAGAAGACAAAAGAAGGTAGAGAAGTTGCTGCTTCATACCAATGAGGTAAATCAGTAGATCAACAACAAAACACACGGCTGAATAGGTTATTGTATACTTTCTGTCCCACAAATCTCCCAAGAATTTTCCTTGTAGACCACATTATGTGAAAACATGCAAGAAATAGGATTCTGAAAAATGTAAGTCAGCCTCACTGTGAAGTGGACATATCACAAAGTCACTGAAAACTCATATTCCATTTCAAATATGAAAAAGGTGTTGTGAAGGATAGTTACAATTATAAGAGTTACACCCTCTCTTAAAATGTGGATAGACCTACACTACTGCATGTATCAAGAGCAAGAAAATTGGAACTTCAAGCGTCTGAACACAAAAACTAGATTTAACCAGAACATTTTATTTGTCCTCTCTTACTTTAGACTAAAAATGCAGGCAGTTGATCTTCAGTTTCTGCTGTGTCCTATATGCAAGGATTAGCTAGTGTAATAGATCTGCTTCAGGTACTTAATCACATAGAAAATATTATCAATCTTGTCAGATAGACCTGCTATGCAAAGCCTCATGTCTTCTTGGGATTTTGAATCTCTGGCTTCATTCTCAGATGCTAAGAATCTACTTAAGTTCTGCATTACATCTTGATCTTGCATTTTCACATTCTCTTCCTTGTTTTTCTCCTTTATCTCTGTATCTCATGGTCTCTTATTTTTGATGCAATCTTAGATTTAAAAAGATACTCTCCCCTCACCAAATTAAAACCCATAGAGACTTCATCAGCTGTATCAGACCTTTGACCACTCAGCTAGAGGAGAAAGAGCAGACATTTGCCTTTCCTCCATATATTACAGTATTCTCTTAGGTTGGTAAAGCTTCTCCTGTTTTTAATTGTCTTTTATGTTTTTTTTTTTTTTACCATGGCTATTTCATAATTTATTTTTTATTCATTGATTTATTTAACAGACACACATTGAGTGTATACCATGCATACACATTGAGGATACTAAAATGAGATGTCCTCAAGAAAACACATTAGATGGGAGGTAGATGAGTAAATGAATGATATAAAACCGGTTACCAAGCTAAATACAGTGCTATTAAAACAGAAATCAGAGTCTGGGCGCGGTAGCTCATGCGTGTAATCCCAGCCCTTTGGGTGGCAGAGGCAGGCGGATCACCTGAGGTCAGGAGTTCTAAACCAACTGGCCAACATGGCAAAACCCTGTCTCTATTAAAAATATGACAATTAGCTGGGCATGGTGGTGCACACCTATAATCCCAACTACTTGGGAGGCTGAGGCAGGAGAATTGCTTGAACCCAGAAAGTGGAGGCGGAAGTTGCAGTGAGCTGAGATTGTACCTCCAGCCTGAGCAACAGAAAAAGACTGCATCTAAGAAAAAGAAAAAGGAAAACAGAAATCAGAGATGAGTTCAGAAAAAAATGATTGTTGGTAGTAGGGATAGAGTTAATGTATCAGAGAAGGCTTCCCAGCATTCGACAACTTAAGCTGAGATTGTCATGGAGGATAAGATTGGCTTCTTGGCAAAAGGAAATATATATGCAAATCTATAAAAATATAAGAAAGGGAGGGACATTCAAGAACATAAAGTTGCACTTAGGAGAAAAGTTAAAAGTAATAATAACACTTACAATCTTTGATAACTTTTATTATAGTCAAGCAATATTCTAAGTTCTTATATGTGTTAACTAATACTAGCCAGAAATATATGCATATGTTCTATTAGTAATTTTCATCATCCTCATATCACAGATGAGAATACTGGGTGACATTAAGTATGAGAAAAGCTTAAAGAGAAAACCCAGGATAGGAACTCTTACTTCTTGACTCTATAACTTGAGCTCTTAACCTTTGTTCTCAACATTGTGTGCCCATGAGTTTAGAGAGAAAGGCAAGCGTGGCTTATAGAAGCTATGAAATCAATAAGCCGTGAGTGTCAACTTTGATAACAAATGTCCAAGTAATTGCAAACTGCAGAAAAGTGTGATCATATTTTTATTTCTACATTTTCTCCTTAAGGCAGAGTGTATTTTAAATGGAAAGGAACTAAAGACAAGAACTCCGGATAGGAAAGTCTGAAAATTTAAGCAAACAGCAATGAATAAGATCCAGGAAAAAAGGGAAAAAAAGCCAGTTACTGTAGTAATGACAATGAAAGAAAAGATTAAGAACTGTTTATGAGAAAGAATGAACGAGGTCATTGGAAGTTAATAAATAAGCAGTAGATGAGATGACATGATTTCTGACTCTGGAGACCAAGTGGTATCACTACTCTATGATATAGGGAAGACAACAAATGTAGACTTTAAAAAAGCATTAATTCAGTTATGGCTGTATTGCCATTGGGTAGTCTGTATTGCAGGTAAAGCCAACTGGAGATATCTTGGATATCATGAAAAAATGACACATCCAAAGTTCAGGAGAAGAAGTTCGATGAAGAAGATGGTTCCAGATTAATCAAAGGTTACAGATAATGAACATATCCTAATGATTGCCAATTGTTGACCTGATTTTCCTTTATGACCTTGGCTTTTGTTCTACAAATGAAAACTTCTGCCTGATTCTGAAGCCGGTTTCTGCCCTGCCTAACCCCATCTCATGCAGAGTAAACCCATGACCCATAACTATAAGCATCAAGCTGTCAAATTAGCAAAAGTAATAAATCCTCCATAGGAATAAAATCTGCTACTTGATCTCTTGAGAAATTCACTGCGAATGGAGAAACACTTAGCTAATAAAGTTATAAACAAAATTATTCATTACTCTTATCATACATAATTCAATCTGATGTCCCAATTCCCCATGCATTATGCTCTGACAACTGGATTGGAATTACTGTTTGTGCAGTTATAAAAATATTTCTCTTCGCTGACTATGTATTTTTTTGTTCTGTAAGCTTCAGGTCATTTTTTTTTTCATCTGTAGTGTCTTAATGAGCAAATCTGTTCTCCTTTTTGATAGGTTTTGGGGTAATTCTGTGTGTTTTTGCCCATTATGAGTTGTCCAAGGAATGAACAGTGCTACTTTATTACCACTCTGAATTATACTTTTGCAAAGATAAAGTAAGATTTGGTTACCTAATTTATGGCTGTGCATTACCGTCCTAGGGAGATGCAAAAAAATATGTATTCCTTGTCTTGTTACCATGCCCTTTTTGGAGCTCCTTAGGTAATCTAATTATAAGGAGAGTTTGGGAAACTATTAGTTTAAAATATATCTTCATATAATGAGAAAAATTACATTTGAAAAAATGAAACAAAATCGTGGTTAGGTCCCTCTCTCCTCCATAAGGCCTGAAGGCACTTGCCCTTCCTCCCACAACACTGAGATTATTCTTCCCGTCGCTTGCACTGACACTACTTCCTCCAGCTTCTCTTTCAGTTGGAGGAATTCTTCATGGTTCTGACCCTTGATACTTCTTTTCTTTGTAATGCCTACTGCTGGTTGAATAGCTACATATGGTCTTGGGATGCCACCGATCTCCTCTAGGCTGACAGTTTGGGAGTTAAAAAATAAAGATGGTACCAAGCATTTATGTACCAGGGCAGAGGTCTTTACTCAATGAAATGGCAAACTCTCCTTCTTCTGAATTCTTCTACCCTTTTATTTCCCTGTAGAAATGGAAAAGTCCATTTTAAAATTCCACATTTCTTTAATCCTAGAACAATTGAAAATCTGTACTTGTTAATTTGTGTTCACAGGGCAGATCACAGGGCAGCATGATGCTTCAAGAATTCATATAAGGTTAACTTAAAGAAAGGCAAATGAAATTATAAGTAATTAATCTGGTGACATAATATTTGAATTCCTCATTCCTAGATCAGATACTGAGACTTCCAGGGTTGGGGCAAGGTTGATTGCCATAAGACTCTGAGGTTTTTTAAAAAAATAATGATAAGATCACTAAAGGACATCTCAAACCAATGATGCATCCACATTGTGGTGAAACCTCTGGATAAGGTCTATATAGTGGGCTTTCCAAAACATAGATCTGAAAATGTCATTCCAGTTAAACGTGAGCACTACAAGGGCAGGGAATTTGCACTAATGTATCCTGTGTACCATGAACAGCACCTGGCACAGAGTAGATCCTTAATAAACATTTGTTGAAAAGTGAATAAATCCCCTGGCTTAAAAATCCCCTTGCAATAGGATAAGCCAACACTGAATAACATTGCATGCAAGATACTTCCAAATTTTTCTCAACTAATTTGGCAGCGTTATCTCCCTGTACATCATTCCATAATCCCAACTAATTTCCAAAGACAATTCACATTTCTCCAAAGTTGCTTTTTTAAAAAAAAATTAAATCTAACACTTTGTGGGAAACCTATTGTGTTGAATTCACTATGTATTTTTTCAAGAAATGAGCTTTACACTCCTTTCTAACTGGGTATATAACCATGAAGATGACATCACCCCTTGCCTTTGAGGTGTTTATAGTCTGTAAGAGGATAGAGACATGTAAAATAGAAATGACTATAAGGAAACACACACACAAATGTGCATGCACACACACATACACGCATACATACACACATATGCACATGCACACACAGACACACCCACAGGAACACACATACATATGCACACACATACAGGACCACACATGCACACATAGGAACACACATACACATGCACACACAGACACACATGTATACACATGCACACACAGACACACATATATACACACACATATATATGTACAGAATACATGTACACACATACACATGCACACACACATACACACATGCACTTACACATACACACACCCGCATGCACACACACAACAGAAAAGGGACCATAAAGAAAGAGCAACAGAATAGGCTGTAATGTCTAAGAAATGCTTCCTTGAGGAAGTCACAAAACCAGAAAAATGCAGAATCTTTTTGTACACAGACACAGAAGTGGGACTAGCTACACAATTTGTGGGATCCAGCCAAATAAAATGCAGGTCCCCTTGTTCAAAAAGCAGAAAAAAAATTCTAATTAAGGTACTAAAATACAAAGCTCTTTTCTGTCTTCCACAGTTTCTTTCTCAACTTGGCTTGTCATAGTATTTTTATTTACTATTTAATGTCCTTCTAGCTAAAGAAAAATTAATATTTTTAATTATTAGCATAAATATATTATTTCATCTTCATATTGTACAAGTTTAACTCTACTATAAGAACATTTAATTCACAAAAATATCATCAAAATTACACAATTTGTATTCTGTCGTTGGTACACGTATGTGTATTTAGTTTTTACCACAACAGTGGAAATACTGTTTAAAGCTAACTCAATGGTTTTTATCTCACTTCTTGAAAAATGCTCATTCTACCAACACTCTCTACCTTCAACTTACTGATGAGTAACAAAGAAAATAAGAGTAAATATGTGTTATTCTATTTTTCCCTTTCCTCAACACCATCATTTCCAGTAAGTTCTGCTTGTAAAGGAAACCAGGGTCTCTCAGGGCTCCTTGCACCCCTGCTCAGTCACAGATGTGCTGCATTTCTACACACTTGGAGTCTTGCTGAATCCCCATGCATCCTGTCCATCAGAACACTGTGCCCATGAAGCATCAGGATGACCCCATATGCCTATGGGGCCTCACAGACATGCATGTTACACATACCTCCTCGGCTCACATGCATGCTCCATTGTTCCTTCGAGTTTCCCTTTCAAAACACAAGCTCAAAGATACAATTATTTAAAATTTCATAATGGGTGACAGTAGAGAATTAAACAAAGGTTGGCTTTCTTCTGAATGTAGGACCCATTGCTAATGCACCGTTGACACCAGCTCTGACAAGAGGCAAAAGAGTAGGGCACATTGGGGAAAGTTACTTCATCTATGATGGTTAGAGCACGCAGTGTAAGAAGAGTTCTGTGAGACGTGAGATGAAAAGTATCTTAAGACGTGCCACCAAGTCACTAATGGTATCTAGGACTCTCTTCAGCCCTAGATACACTTTTTTGTAGAATTTAAAAATTTCTATTGTTTTCCCTTTGAAAGATTTGTTCTAACTTCTATGGGAATATGCTATTCTGCTTTCCCACCTTAACTTCCTAGAAATGTTTGTTGAATCCCAGGCAATCTCAGTTGCTCATTATTTCTATTATGATCAAACCTAGTCAGCTCAGATTTCATGCTAAAGCACCAACAATTTGTCAGACCACCTACTGGACATGTCTCACAAGTATCTCAAATCATCTGTCTCTACCAGACCATCTCCTTCCCAGGGTGCCCTTTCTCAGGATCCAGTTCTTTACTCTTGAAATCTAAGAATCTTTTCTTTTTTTAAAAAAAAAATTTCACTCTATTGAATTGCTGGCACAGTAAAAATAATCTTTAAATGTCTACATCTGTCATCTCAATTTCTACCTCCCCAGTTTAAGTCTAGGTTGTATTGTCTTTTGTTTTTATCTGGAACCTTCTTTCTTCCTTCAATTCATGCTTTACACAGGGGTTAGAGGGTCATTATAAAGCCAAATCTGATCACATCACTCACCTCTTAATATTTCTTTAATGCCTTGCAAGCTCCTAAGATGAAATCCAAATTTCATAAGCTGGTCAAAAGACCAGCATTATCCAGGCTTGAAAAACATTTTCAGTCTCAGTTTTTCTCACCTTGATAGGTTGGGAACTAGGCTCTCCTGCTGAGTTCAGCAAGAGACTCAAATATTTGTATTTTAGCTTCCTCTTCTATAAAATCAAGATAACTTACATAATTTTTCATAGGGTTGTTAAGAGGAGCAAAAGAGCTAATATATGCCAAGCATATAAAATATTAAGCACTATTTCAGTATAAGTTATTGAATTAGTCAGCTATTTCTAGGTAATTATTTCTAGGTAATAAATAAATCTCAATGGCAAACAGCAATAAGCAATTATTCCCCACTCAAAAGTATGAAGGTGGGCAGGTGGTTTGATTTGGCTGTGGAACACCTGCTGTTGGATCCAGACCACAGATCCAGTCCATGCGCTCAGTCTGGAACCCAGACTGTAAATACAGCGTTTACCTAAGCATATTCTTCTCCTAACAAAGGTGGGAAGCTTCTAGGTAGATGAGTGTAAATACAGGATGCTCCTACATATTAGGCTCTGGATTGTCACCGGGTCGTTTCTATTCTTTACATTGAGCAAGGCAAGGCCAGGGCCATAGCATGGGAAGTATAACATAGTATTGAGATTGGGGTAGTGGTTGAGTCAGCAGTTCCTGAAAAACTATCTAATTTGCCACTGTAATTGTTGCACATTCCTATTTCCCAGGGCTTATACTCCAGCCATACTCTATTTATATAATTTATCTAACTTATTAAAATTCCCCATGATGTACTTTGCATAGGAAGCATCCAACATGCTTCCTGGAGAACTGTCTCTACTTTCCCCATTTAGCCAAGTGTCTTGTTGATGGATTTGGATAGATGATTAGATATAGATGCAGGTATTAAGAACAGTGCCTGCCTTGAACAGAGTAGGCTTCCGAGATATATTGGTAGAATAAATAAAAATGAATGATTTCTGGAAATATGCATTTGTGACATTTAAAGACAGATGAGTAACAGAGACTTGGTATAATGTGAAACCAGGCTGTACTGAAATAGTATCTGAGTAACAGACGAGAGACCCCAGTGCAGAAAGTAAGGTAATAGCAGGCACTGTGGAACACTTCAAAGCCACATCACCATGGTTGATATTTAAGATAAATCTCTAATAACATCAGAAGACTCTCCATGTTCTATTATTAAAGCCGATGCACACTGAGATGCAACACAGCCCATAGGGTGCTAACAAAGGAATAAGAGACATTGAAAACCAGGCCATATCAGGATAGATTTTTATTATGGAAAGTTGAACATAAAATACAAATCATAGCTCAAAGGGGCTCAATATAGTCAAGCCCCAAACTAGTGGTGGCAAAAGAATAATAGGAGGGCAAGAAAATAAGATTGAGATCAAAGCAGGTCACAAGAAAGTCAGGGTGTCAATGTGAGTACATCACATAATAGTAAGCGCAAGAACCGTAAGAGAACGCTAGAGGCCAAGTCCCTTCCATCCACAGGGATGTAATATAACTGAATAGCATGGCATCAAGAGAAGGCTTGAGAGCCATAGGAATTAAGTACAGACAGGAAACAATAGGGTAACACCTTCCTAACATTTCTGCCATTTATTGTGAGTCCATGATGTGCCAGGCAATGACAAAAGGACTTTGCATGTATTATCCCACAGTAGCCACATAACAGCCCCCATGAAGTGTGTGTTCTTTGCTCCCACCATGTTACAGATGAGATATACTGGCTCAGAGGGTTTCAGAAATGTTATGGTCCTATTCCTAGGAGTGGTGCAGCTGTGGGTAGATAAGGACATCGGAGTCCTGCTGGTACTGGTGGTAAAATGCCCCAGTAATGCATTCACTTGGCAATGTCTGTGGAAGGGTCCCATAACCTAGTGGGCCTGTGTGTGTCTACGGCCCATCCACAAGCTACCAGTAGGATAACTCTACTTATTTTAACTCATCCTTAGTGAATCTTATATCTATACTTTTATTTTCCACCCGCGCTTTGGGAGGGGTGTCCTGAACTGGCTAACTGAAAATGTTTGGAACCCACAGTTAAAAGATACTTAGGAAAAGTAATTTCTAATTTCTGACATGAGACATCTTTGCTGTTAAGTAAGTTATGTGCTCAACCCCATGAGTGGTAATCAAAGAACTTTTTCTCCCCCAACTGGATGTGATTTCAGTGGAATTTGAAAAAGATACACTGTTGATTTCCATAAGAAATTGTGTGAGTTTGCTGATATGCTCCCTTAAAAAGCTACCAAGAGAAAATAATCTGTTTATTATTCATGTGTATCTTTTCAATTCACTTGAGCCCATTTTACATTACCAGAATCTCAGACATCAGTTAATGACCTAGTAGTATATTCCTAATGTGATCTTTCAGGATAATTAGTCTCTATATTTTTCCTACAACAGTGTTCTAATATGAAAAGTTGATTTTGTTGGGTTTTAAAAATACAAAAGGTTAAAGACATAAACTGTAAATTATCTATAAAAGATAAAAGCCTGAGTGATGCTCTAATTAAAAATAGCCTATTGGGTCTGAATATCTTTTTTCACTTCAGAATCTTTTTTTTTCCTTCTTCAGACAACTCTGTTTTGCCAGTATTAAGTAGTAGTAGTAATGATAATAATAATATTGTTATAATAATAAAGAGAATATCAGCATGTAATTACAAAATACCTGATGCAGACTATCATTTGAAATTAACTGCCCCAGGGGCCTCAAGCAATTAAAGTGAGCTACAGTTGATATTGGAAATTCGACCTTTTTACGAGTGATTGACAACCTGATTCTATAGGGTGTAAAATTTATAGATTCCATTGCAAATTGCATTACCTCAATTCTCCAAGGGACAGGGAAGAAGAAAATAAGGCCTCTGTAGTTTCATGGTACAGTGAAGAATAAGAAATCCCACTTCATATATCCCCCAATCTGAAAGGAAGTAGGTCCTCAAATTCAATGCTCCCATTGCCGTATGCTGTGTCGGTGAGGTGGTTTGTTTATCTTTAGGATTTATCCAAACTTCTAGAGGACATGGGCAGGAAAAAGCTCCCCTTTAAATCTCCAAGTTTGGCAATTCTTGAGAACTTAGCCTAACTTTTCTTTCTTTCTCTCTCTCTCCCTTCCTTCCTTCCTTCCTTCCTTCTTTCCTTCCTTTTTTTTTTTCTGGAAACCTTCCATAATAAGCCAAGTTACACAGTATCCCTGTATTTTCTCAAAACCTTTTGTATTAATTATCTATTCCTCTATGCATCAGTCAGGGCTCAATCAGAGAAGCAGAATCAGTAGGATCTACAAACTGGACTTATTACAAATAATTGGCTCATGCAGTTGTAAGCTACATAGACTCTGGTTTATCTCCGTGCCTGATGTTGGAATATGGGGCCTAAGAGGCAGGAAATTAAGAGGGGAATATTAGGAGCAGGCTGTAACCCAAGAAACATGAGCTGGAATTTCACAAGGACAGACTGAAACCTTTGCCTGTTCTTCTTGTCTCTGACCCTGGTGAATGGGTTTCCTACAAAAACTAGGGCCCTTTGTCACAGAGCTGAACACACACATTTGACTCTGGAACCCTAAAAACTAAAGTAGAGACCAGGGAACATAAAGAAATTGTAGGATCAGAGGCTGCTTCATGTCAACGAGGTGAGTCAGCAGATCGGGAACAACGTGTGTCAGCTGCAAAAGTGCTAATGCCTTTCTTCTGCCCTCCAAATCCTGCAGACATCTTCCTTGTGCTCCATTCTTACAGAAACATACAAGGATGAGAATTCTGTAAAATGTAGGTCAGTCTAGCCAGATTGGCACATTACAAGACCATTCTATTGTGTCAAGAAAGTTCTCCAAAACACAGTGGCTTAAAATTATAAAATAATAGTAGTAACTAACATATATTATCATTTTTCTTGAATTTATGGGTTAGTGGGCAATTCTGGTTTGAGATAGCTTCTCTGGAGCTGGATTATCTATGATGTTCTTACATGCCTTGGGTCTATGCTGAGATGGTGGTCAGATGGGACATAAAAAAATAAACCTGCAAGAATTCTTGAACTTTATGATGAGCTTGCGGTTAATAGTGGTATTTTTGCAGTGAATCTGTAGAATAGAGAAAATGAGTAAATGTACTGATGCTCTTGGAACCAGGTTTCTAACTCTGGGGAAAAAAAAGATAAAAATAAGGGAGGGAAAAATGTGAGGAAGAATGTACTCGTTTAGATTTGATTTGAAACTCTAGGATATCTCTGTAGCAATAGGCCTACTGAGCACCCACATATTGATTTCTAATTATTATTTACCATGAAAATGAATGAGAACATTTTAGATAAATGGGTGATTTCAAATTTGTGGTAGGAAATAATATAACATAAGCCTAGGACGTCTTGTGCCAGAAAGTACAGAAGCTGTTGAAAACTGATAGAAACATGTCAAGTAGATCGAAACTACTTTGAAATTCAAACCCCAGTCTAATATTAAACAATTTAAAAATTAATAATGATAATCATAATGCAGTTATAATTAAAATGTTATACAATATTGAATTTTAAAACCTAGAAATTCATACACATACTTAAGCAATAGGATGAGGTGTTAGGAAAAGGGAATCTCATCTTTACAAAAGAATGACAGCTTGTAAATGAGGAAAGAGTCATAGAATTGGAAAATCATCCCACACTGATCATGTAACAGCACTCTGTGAGGATGTGTGCTCTTTTGTTTCAGAAACTGATTTATCTAAGTAATGCGAGTAGCCGAAATGTATTGGATTTTGAACCAGAAGACTGTTGTACAAGGGGGAGTTTTGCAAATTATTGGCCCTATAAATTTACACTGGTTAGATAATTTCTATGAGCTCAGTTACCATAGCTATATTCAATCACTGGTAATACTCATCTCATCATTGCTACCTGTTTTAAATGAGATGATGAATGTAAAGTTTTATATGATAATAGACAAATGTAACCTATTATTTATAAGGACCACAAGCATCAGAATAAAAGACTATAAATGAAGCATTAGTCCATGAATAAAGCTTCACAATAACCCGAGTACTCAGAAGAGATCAGTAGAGAGTATTCTCCAACGCCCTTTGATTTTCCTTTTTCTTCATTTCCTGATTCACTTTTATAGACAACCCTGAGTTGTATGGCATTATGAAATATACACCATTAGAAAAAATCAGTCTGAGAACACACATAGGCAGTTCTTTCTTTTTCTTTTTCACTATGGCAATTTCTACTTAGGCATAGAGAAATATATTACTGTGGAAGATTCTGCTGTTCTCAGGCTTTCTACACAGGCAAGGTGGCACTCTGGAAATCACTAGTCTCTTGCAGCCACCCAGAAGGTCCTGATTGCCAGCAATGATAAATGAACCCATATCAAAGCTTCCATGCTTGTTTCAAAGAGCCAAGCACTTCTATTTCTCTTTTCTTGGCCAATGTTTGTTTCTGGCAAGGAAATGCAGTGGCAGAGGTTTCTATTTTTTTTTTTCAATGAAGCTTATGCTTAGATTTAACTTTAATTATTATTTTTGTTTTTATCGATACATAATAGATGTATATATTTTGGAGAGGACATGTGATAATATAATACACTCATATAATCAAATCAGGGTAATAGAGATATTCATCACCTTAAATATTTATTTTTCTAAGCTAGGAACATTTGAGTTCTTCTCTTCTAGCTATTTTGAAATGTACAATAGATTTCTGTTCACTATAGTTGCCTTATCTTGCTATGTGCTTTCCCTTGCAATTTATTTATTTCTGACACTTGCTTGTCATTCAGAAACATATATTGTCACTTCAACATCAATATTAGAAATTTTTAGGATCAACAACTTTCCAGCAACTAGAGAGCATGCAATTAGGGCAAAAAGGTGTCTTGTTGTGCCTCAATATTTCAATAATAAAGGAGAGAATAAAATAATTGAGTCCAATCTGTTCCCCTCCAGTGATATAATATAAAATTGTATTTCAGGGGAACACATTATAACCATATACACTGAGTTGTTGAAAATTAATCTTCTTATTGCTGGGACTATTTACAATGAACAAAGAATTTTTAAACGCTGATATGCTATTTGAAAATTTATCTTGATTTTATAAAAATTGATCTATATTGGAGCTCTTATGAAAGATGAATCAAGGAGATATTCATGTCAAATTTGGTGACTTCGATTGGCTTGGAAGGTGACAGAGAGTTCTCTGCCTCAAAGGCATTTTCTACAAATACTCTTAAAAGGCTCATATTTTTAAAAACACTTATTTTATTGTACAATTTAATTCAGATTTCAGCGGGCATTCTTGTCTTCCCATTTCATGCTAAAGTAACCTACTTGTTGCTCAGGCTTAGCTATTGAAATATATCACTAGAGACAACTCCCATTAAGCTAGTCATTGCTGTTTGACTGATATGTCAACTCGGCTTCTATTTATAAACATCCTATTTATGAAGTCTGCTTTACCTATAATAAACCCCAACTTACTATATGTCAAATATTATACTTTAATAATTTTAATGTCTATAATGACTCTACAAAATACCTGCTATTATTACGTTTTGTATACATGAGAAAGCAGGGCTAGCCCCTGGCAAAGCTGGGGTTGAAACCCCAGCTGACTATCCTGTAGGAGTTGCATGGTACCCAACGCAGTGCTCCTTTAGAAAGGTCATCTGCTTTGAGACCAGCCTGGCCAGCATGGTGAAACCCCGTCTCTACTCAAAATACAAAAAAGTAGCCCAGTGTGGTAGCATGCGCCTGTAGTACCAGCTACTCCTGAAACAGGAGAATAGCTTGAACCCGGGAGGCGGAGGTTGCAGTGGACCAAGATCGCGCCACTGCACTCCAGCCTGGGCGACAGAGCCAGACTCTGCCTCCTCTGCCTCAAAAAAAAAAAAAAAGAAAGAAAGAAAGGCCGTCTGCAGAACAAAGAGAATGAAGTAGGAATGAAAATTCTGGCTGTGCATTTTAGGGGCTGCTGATCCAGGATAAGAAGTTACTTTATACAACTAACATGGTTGTCTGTGAAAAGAAAATGATAACAACTTCCTATCTTCTTTAGGGTATGATGTGAGAATCAAATGAGACAACCTATGTGAAAGTGCTTTAAAGAGTTCAAAACCATAGGCTTTAAAATTGCCCTTGTCATTAATATGACTTGTATAATTAGCATTATTACTCCTTATGCCTCTGACAAAATGATTTTACTGAGAATATATAACACTTTTTCATATTGTTATTATTGCACTGTTCATTTATTTCCCTATTATATAATGCATTGATTCATTTAGCATTATGTTTTTTTGAGCTGCCAGCCATGAGATTTTAGATTCTGAATAAATCATAGTCTTTGACTTTGGGTCTGGGAACTGAGAAGGTTGAAGGGGATGGCTATGTTACATAGAAGCAAATAGAGTGCAGCAAACGTGCCAAAAAACATATTCACATTTTGAAAAAAAAGTAGCTCTGTATTGACAAGACTATGACTTATGACTGATGGGACAAGAGACTGGAAAGATAAAACTTGAATTAGACTGTAAAAGGTATTGTATGTCATAATATGGATTTTCAACTTTTACTTGTGAGAAATGTATAATTAAGGAAATCTTTTAAGTAGGTATTGCTGGATACCAGCTTCTCCCTTAAACACATTATTGCACTTCTCTAAGCCTCAAGGTCTTCGTCTTCAAAACGGAAATGGTGATACCTCCTTTTCAGAGTTTCTCCAAGACCTAGAGCTAATGTATCTAATGCTTGTGACAGTACATCGTGCATATACATGCTCAATAAACCCTGGTCACTAATGCCCAGGTAACATAAGACTGTTAATTTCCTTTGAGAAACTCTAAAATAAATTATTTATATAAAGTCAGTCATGTTTGTACTTTTAAAACTTGTGTTCATACTTGAGCTTCTTGGATGGTAGATGAATGAGCTTTCCTTTTATCTTAGCTCCTCAGTACAACTATATATTTTGAAATTATATATAAGACTAACGTAATGAAACCCTATCTCTACTAAAAATCCAAAAAAATTAGCCAGGCATGGTGGTTCAGGCCTGTAGTCCCAGCTTCTTGGGAGGCTGAGGCACTAGAATCGCTTGAACCTGGAGGCGGAGGTTGCAGTGAGCTGAGATAGCGCCATTGAACTCCAGCATGGGTGACAGAGTGAGACCCTGCTAAATAAATAAATAAATAAATAAATAGATAAATAAATAAATAAAATTAGCATAAAGAAGTTCTAAAAGATGAAAAGCAAAAAAACTTAGACTCCAAAAAAGAGCATGGTACTAGCTTCTCTGGGTATTTGTTTTGTTGCATGTATTCCACATTTGAAGCTGAAAAAGTCAGTGACCCAGAAACATCAATAGGTGCAGACACACAAAAAAGGTCCAATAAAAGTCTGTTGTCTGCAGTCAAAGGATGAGGAAAGGGGCAGCTCAGCAAGACAACAAATTTTTTTCACAATAACAACACCACTCCATGCAAACACTACTGAAAATACTGTGGCCCCACCACACTTGTACCAGCAAATGCTGAGTGGAAAGCCTAGGCTTCCACCCTTGTGAATATATAATTCCTAAATCCCACATTGTCTGTCCTGGGTGATGTAACAGAAGGTCAAGTAGGGAGCTCAGGCTTACTTGTATCTCTTCTGGGTAATAGCCACCCTACCACAGTATCAGAGGAGACCATGTTCAGAGCCTGGATTTCCATCATTATCCAGAAGTAGCAAAGCTCCTTTCTCCCTACCTGTTGGGCTGATGTCAGAGGAGGCCTAGCAGAGTCAGGACTTGTTACACCATCCAGTGGTAGTGAGGCACTCATACCCATTGTGTGTCAGTGTAGGCCATTTCAGGAATAGCAAGGAGGCACTCCTCCCTCTCCAAGCCCTGATAGTATCAGTGAAGGATACTGGGGAGCTACAGTTTCAACCCCCATCCAGCATTAAAGGAGAGCTTCTCCTTGACTTTGGAGCCAATAAAGGCCAAGTGGAAAACTTGGACATCTCCCCCATCTGGCAGCACCACCACTTTCCTTATAGAAATGATGTCAGAAGAAGTCAGCTAGAATAAAAGATTTAAATTAAGATGCAGAATCTTCTTAGTAATAAAAATGGTGAGGTTTCAATAAAAAATTACTTGTCATATCAAGAACCAGAAAAATCTTAACTTGAGTGAAAAAAGAAAATCAACAGATGGCAACACCAACATGACAAACATTTGGAATTATGTAACAAGAATATTCTGAAATAATGAAAAGGATAAAGAAAATAATTAGTGAACTTGAAACAATCAAAATTATCCAATCTGAACATCAAAGAGAAAAAAAAGAAAAATATAAACAGAGTCTTAGAGCTTTGTGAGATGATAGCAAATGATCTTACATTCATGTATTCAGAGAACCAGCAGATTGGAAGCGGAGCTTAAAAGATGTTCAAATGAATAACAACTGATTTAATAAAGAATTGCATCATCATATTTGTGAAGCTAGACAAGCCTCAAACATGAAACACTCAAATAAATCCACATCAAGAGACATCATAGACAAACTTCCATAATCTAAACACACAGGGAATATTGTGGAATCAGTGAAACATAAATTACACTTTACCTATAGGGAAAAAAATAAATTATAGAAGATCCTCATCAGAAACAAGATAAGAATGGAAACCTAAATAAAGTGGCAAACATTTTATAAGTGTTGAAAAAAGAGAAATATCAAGTTAGAATCCTACATCTAGCAAAAGTAT
Organism: Homo sapiens; assembly: GCF_000001405.40. Lineage (NCBI taxonomy): Eukaryota > Metazoa > Chordata > Mammalia > Primates > Hominidae > Homo > Homo sapiens. The sequence goes on from NC_000008.11 coordinate 137,671,006, forward strand.
CCACAAAGAATAAAGGAGAAATTAAGATATGCTTAGGTAAAGGAAAACTAAGATGTCATCATCAGACTTAACTATAAAGGTTGACTAAAGGAAGTTTTCTAAACAGAAAGAAAAAAGATAAATCTTCAAACATCAGGAAGAAAGAAGAAATACAGGAAGCAAAAGCATAAGTAAATATAATAGACTTTTCTTTTCCTCTTAGGTTTTCTAAGTTACTTTGATGGTGTATGGAAAAATGGTAGTACTGTCTGAGGTAGTTATAAACATTATAGAGAAAATATTTTCAATGATTATATTATAAATAGGGGAGAATAGAGGGACGTTAATACAGATAGCTCTGTATTTTAATACCTCACTTGAAATGGTAAAATGTCAACATGAGCATGCTAATACATTGTGCATGTATAATTTAATAGCTAGAATAACCATTAAAAAACTACACACTAAAAAATAAAAACTTTGACATTCTGGTAGATTAAGCATAGCCACAATTCCTTGCAGTTTCTCTCATAAAGAGGTGGAATCCATTTTCCCAATCCTTATATCTGAACTGTCCTTATCTGTGGCATGTTTAATCAATAGAATAAGGTGGAAATCGCATTGTGTGAGCTCAATAGCCAAGGCCTCTAGAGCTTCTATTTTTGCCCTCTTGGAATGCTGCCAAGGGACCACCATGTGGAGAAACCCAGGATGAAAGACCACATGGAGAGAGAGGCCAGCCACCCAGCAGTCCTAGCTGAGCTGAGGCCCCAGCCAATCCACCATCTGATGGCAACTGCTGGAATAAACACAGTGAGGCCAGCAGATAAATCACCCAGTCAGCTCATGGAAGACTGAGAAATAATAAAATGTAGTTGCTTTTAAAAAATACCATACAAAGGGATGTACGCAAAAACACCATCAATAAATCAAAATAAAATTTATTTTTAAAAGTTCAAGTAACCCAAAGGATGACAAAGAAAGGAAAAAAGAAAGCCAGCTAGCCCTGAAAAAGTAACAACAAAAAAAATGAACTAAACCCTAAGATAAAAACATGTATAAAAATGTAAGCAATCTCAATAATTTTATATTAATGAGGTATTGAATGATAATGTTTTGACCATGCATAGTTAAATAAAAGGTAGTATTCACTTAAATATATTAGTAAATATATTTAATTAATATGTAAAAATAATTATATAAAATGACCAAGGGAGTTAAGTCCACAGATGTAAGACTCATTCAATATTTGAAAAGTAATGAAAAGATAACAAGATCATATCAACTGATACAGAAAAAGTATTTGACAACATTCAATATCCATTTCTGAATGTATTTCTCAGAAAAATGGGTTAGCAGTGAACCACCTTAGCCTGATAAAGTACATCTCCATAAAAACGAAAGATAACACGACATTTAATAGTGAAAGAAATAATGTTTTTCCCTAAGATCATGGACCAGGAAAAGACATTTTCTTTTTTCTCTCTTATTCAACATAATACTGAAAGTTCTAGCCAATATAAGACAAGAAAGGAAACTCAAAGGCATGGAGTTGAAAGCAATAAAATTGTTTCTATTTGCAGATGACATGATTGTGCACGTAAAAAATACCAAGCAGTATTGAAAATAACTCGTAGAATTAATAAGGGAATTCAATAATTTAACAGGATATGGGATCAACGTACCAAAACCAAGGTATTTATATACACTAGCAATGAATACCTGGAGATCAAAATTGAAAATACAATGCCATTTAAAATCACTAGAAAAATGAAATACTTAGATAGAAATCTAATAACACATATTTAGAGCTTGTATGTTAAAAACTACAAAATGCAGATAAATAAATAAATATAGATCTAAAGAAATGAAGACACATTGTTTTAATGGCTTGGAAGACATGACATAGTAAAGATTTCAATTTTTCTTCAATTGATATATAGGTTTAACACATTTCCTGTTGAAATGCAAGCAGGACTCTATAAATATGGACAACATTATCTAAAATTTATATGAATGGCAAAGAAATGAGAAGACATAACAATTCTGAAAAAGAACACAGTAGGAGGAAAAATTTACCAGGTTTCAGGATTTATTACATAGCTAGTATTCCAAACTGTTGGTACTGCTAGGAGGATAGACATATAGACCAACTGAACAGAAGACAGAATCCAGAAACAAACCCTTACAAATGTGTCCAGCTGAATTTTGAAAACATGCAAAATTAATTCAATTTAGGAAGAATAGTCTTTTTAACAAATGGTGCTGGACCGCTTGGAAGAAAAAATAGACTTGACTTAACCCTCACAACTTATGCAAACATTAATTCAAAATGGACCAGAGATGTCAACATAAACTATAAAACTATAAAAGTTTCAGAGGAAATAAAATTAAAATCTTCAAGATGGAATACTAGGTAAAAAGTTTTTAAGGTTGGCATGAAAACTTTGACCCATAACATAAAGAATTGCCAAACTAGACCTCATCAAAAGCAAAAACGTTTGCTCTGCAAATGCTCTGCTACTGTTGAGGACAAAAGCATAACTTACAGACAGGTAGAAAATATTTGCAAACCACATACCCTACTAGTATCTAGCATATTAAATATCTGACAACACTTAAAAAATGTAATTTGAAAATAGAAAAAAATGTGACATGAGACTTCACCAAAGAGTATAGATGGCCAATAAACATATGAAGGTGTTCAATCATTAGACATTAGAAAAATACACATTAAAAACATTAGCTATCACTACAAACCTATCAGAATGCCTAACAATTAAAAAAAAATAGCAGCAACACCAGTGATTACATGGACATGGAGAAACTAGGTCACAGATGCATGGATAATGGGGAGATGAAATGGTATAGCTACTCTGGAAAATGGTTTGCCTGTTTCTCGCAATAAATGAACATGAAATTATCATATAACACAGCAATTCCACTCCTGGATGTCTACCAAAGAAAAATGAAAACTTATGTTTACACAAAAACTTGAGCATGAATGTTCACAATAGATTTATTTGTAACAGACTTACACTTGAAATAACCCAGATGTCCGTTGATGGGTGAATGGTTAGTTGTGACACATACACCTCATTGAATATGATTTGTAAATAGTATTCATGAATAAAAATGAATTAACTATTAATACATTCAATAACTTGGATGAATATTCAGACATTTGATTGTAAAACATAAAAACACAATCTCAAAATGTTACACACTGTATGAATCAATTTATGTAACATTATTGAAATGATAAAATTATAGAGATGGAAGAATATTTGTATTTCCTAGGAGTCAAAGATATTGTGGGCTGTGAGTGATGTGGGTATTGCTATAAAACAACAACATGAGGAAATTTTGCGTAGAAGAAAAAAAAATGCTATCTAATTGTATCAATGTTGATATCTTGATTTTGACATTGCACTATAGCTTTGCAGCATTTTCCACTGGGTAAGACTGGATAAGCTGTACTTGGTATCTCTCCGTACTATTTTTCACAACTGCACATGAATTTATAATTATATCTACATTTTTTAAAGTTTAAGTATAAATGGTGCTTATATACTTCATTGTATTTTTAAAAACATTGCCTCAAGCTAGGGAAACAGGATAATTACTGTGGGAGAATTTTGATGGAGGATTTTTTGATTGGATGCCTCTGAATATACGACAAAAGAAAGAGGTTTAAATTCTAGTTTTTACCTTTGCTCATTATGTGTGAATAATCTGTGACCTACAATCTCTTCAATTGTGAAATGGGAATAAAAGGGCATAATGTTAGTATTATTATGGAACTTAAAAGGGATAGCGATATAAGTAAAATTAGCTGGGGCTTAAATGACAGATGAATTTTCTGAAATATAATTGGTAGTTCATGCAACTAAAATGTATTTTTTTAAATGATAGTAACAGATAACATTTATTTGAGTTACTTAGCATTTAATGAGTCCTTACTACAAGGCAGGCTCTGTGCTAGGGAATTTATGTAAATTATCTCACTTAAACTTCCCAATAACCCTAACAGGTAAAACTTTTTAAATTGAATAGTGGTGATAGTTGCTAAAATGTATTAAATAGAAATATGTGCTTTATAATTTTTAACATCAATTAAACATATTATGTGTTAATTGTGTGTCAGGCACTTAAAAGTGCTCTGGGGACTTTTATAGATACTGAGTCATTTAATCTTCAAACAAGATATTATTGTTATTTTCATTCTTTCTTATGAGGAATGTATGTTTAAATAGAGTGAACTAGCACAATCCAAGATCATGCAGCTAACAAATATCATTAACAGGGCTTACGGATTCGTTTTGTTCTGAGATTTTAGTTATTAGAGGATTACATCACACTAATTTTCTTCTACCTTGGGGTGGTATCCAGTAAGTGACTTCTAACATCCCGTGTGAAAGCTGATAAGGGTGTTTTGCAAGTACCCTAACATTTTACATGGACTGCTGGCAAAGGGTGGGTTAGGTGAGATGGAGAAACTTTGTAAGTCCCTGAGATCTGGAGTTCACCAAGAGGCCAATGAGAGTAACTAGCATAGATTTAAATAGCTGATGACAGGAAAAGGTATAGGGAGTGGAATAGTTAGTCCCAAGAGGTAAGCATTGAGTCACATCAGGAAAGCACTTGGTCTTTCAGGTATTGAGCTGGACAGATACAGTGAATGTGTGGTGTCTTAACTTTGCAGGAAGACAGTACATTAAGTAAATATCCATTTGAGATGACATGCAGGGGCCAGAAAGCCATCAGTTGTGTGCAAGGTCAGTGCTTAAAATCAGGTATTCAGTAATAGAGAGGAAAATAGAAAACGGGAAGGAAGTGAATGCCTCATTATGTCATTACTTTAAAAAAAAAAACAGCATTACTGTTCATTTTATTTCACATATTAATGAACCTTTATATAGTAAGCCAGATGCTAAGCACCGTGGCTGTGGTAATAAGCAATACAGACATATTTCTGTATGAAATATCTCCTCATGAAGATTTCACTCTAGTAAGGATAAAGACTATTAAACAGAACAGAAAGTCAGGTACAAATACCTGAGCATTCATTTTAATCAATTGAATTGCGTGTGTTTATTTTATCTTAGGCTCATAACCAGTACACAAATTCTGAACCTGTGGGCAAACCTCCTACAACTCCTTAGAACTCTCCTGCGAAGAAAAGGCAAAAAGGGATCTACGAAGCATTGCACATACAGGCCAATAGCAGTGAGCTCAACAGTGAAAGGTAGAAGACAGGTAAGAACAAGGCTCAGGAATTAGGATATTGTTGCCTTGTCTGCACAACACCTTCTGCTCTTAATTACATATTTCTCACTTTCACTCTCTTCTAGAATTGCAAGTTACTGCTAGAATTCATACTGGGATAAAGATAGCATGGAAAGTGGGGGTCGGGGCAGAGACGTTAACGTAATTTAGAGGATCTTGGTAGCCTAACAGTTTTACAAATGTTTGAAAATAAATTACTCTGACATAAAGGAGTAGTTGGCATTTATATCAAGTCTAGATTTGTATTTTCTAGTGAGTCCAGGTGGAAAACTATGTAAAATGTAAGACTTCATTGAGCAGCCAGATGCTGCATCTGAACTGAGATTTTGTGGGTCAATAAATAACCCAGATCCATAAAGTATGTGGTGGTAATGGGAAATACTATAATTTCTTTTAGCAGATCAGAAAACAGCTGTTTGCTTTTCCCTTTAAGAAAAGAAAAATATTTTGTGTTTTTTTCTTAAAAAGTCAAATATCAACATATTAGCACAGTTGGAAATACTCAGCATATTATTCTTATCAATCAAATGTCAGAACCACAGACCTTTGACTTTCTGGATCATTGGACTAATGAGGGTACAGAGTGAGTTTGTTTCTCTGAGGTGCATTCTGAATCTTTGCAGGGTCTATCTGCCTAGCAGGAATATGAGGTTAATATGAGTGCATTTGAGAGGAATGGCCATCAGAATCTCCCATGATTAGAAAGGTTTTAACTAATGGTTTCATTTTTCTTTTTATGTTCATGATGGAGAGTCAATTCTCTCCATAATTTTCTCTTCTGAAACCCCTGCTTTAATCTCCATAATTCTCTTCCATTACCATCCAGTTTATATGACACTGTCTGGCTATGGCTCTAATATTTGAGTCTAGGTAGGGATAAGAATATTGCAGATAGGAGGACAAATAAGCTCAACAATAGCTAAAATAATAGTGGCAGTAGTAGTAATTTTAACAAAATAGAGGCATCACTATCATCTATAAAGAGCTTTAGATCAAAACTCAGCATTTCTCTTTTTTGTGTAAATTTCAAGGATACAAGTGCAGTTTTTTCTCATGGATATGTTGGTTAGTGGTGAAGCCTGGCGTTTTAGTGTAACTATCACTTGAACAATGTACACGGTACTCACTAAGTAATTTCACATCCCTCACCTACTCCCACCCTCTCACTTCTTCCAACTCTCCAGTGTCTATTATTTCTCAGTTTTCTAGTCTTTGATTATACACTAGTTTCTGTGTGATCTGGAGTCAATCACGTCTCCTACATTTTAAAAATAATATCTGCTTTGTTGGGCAGTACTAATGAAAGCAAGAAGAGTCTCAAAGAGATTTGGTATGACTGGAAGGATGAGAAGGAATTTATTACTACAGACTGGTGAAACAACCCTCATTATGTGAAAGTTGAAATTCAGTGACATTGTTCCCTGTGGTTGTGTGGAAAATAGAAGTTACACCTAATTAGCTGGTAGATCTAGCTAAAAAGGTTTCTGTTTATCTTGATAGTGTGAATGGGTTCTGTCCATTCTTTTGTGTTTTCTGTTTAGTTTTTTATGTTTTTAGCCAGATATGACAAGACATGGATAAAGAGAAATAATTTTTTAAAAAGGAACCATTTTGTTTCAAAGCAAGAAATAGAAAAGAAATATAAAATGATTTGTTATGTTTAGAAAATAAGTCCCATTATTATACGTAGATTCTCTAGATTGCCAAAAACTCAGGATTAAGATAACCTAAAGCAAGTATTGATTAACTCTTTTAAAAATAAAAAGCCAGAGTAAATATTTTGAGCTTTCAGGCCATATTATCTTTGTTGCAAATACTCAACTCTGAAATTTTAATGTGAAAGCATCTATGGCAATGTGACATTGAATTAACATGGGTATATATTTGGCCCTCAGTATCCATGGGTTCCTCATCTTTGTGTTCAACCTATGATAGATTGAAAATATTTGAATACAAAGGGCACCAAAAAATGATAATACAACAATAAAAATACAAATAATAAAACAATATCATAATACAAATGAAAAAATATAACCATTATTTACATAGTATGTACATTGTATTATATATTATAAATAACCTAGAGATGATTTAAAATATACAGGAGGATATGGGCAGGTTATATGTAAATACTATGCCATTTTATAGAAGAGTCCTTAGATTCTGGTGTTTGTGGTGGGTCCTAGAACCAATCCCCATGGATACCAAGGAACAACTGTATTAATAGAATTTTATATCCAAAAACATATGACTGACTGAATTTGGCCTATGGGCTATAGTTTGCCACCCCCAATCTAAAGCCTATAGCTATAAGGTCCTTTATCAAACTTCAGATAGATCTGAAAGTGTGCCACATAGACCCTGTCTACTAGACAGACAGGTTTCTAAGGCTCTTGAAACCATTGTTCCACAGCATACTGAGTTTCAGGTAAGCCATAGAGAGGTCTATCACAAGGAAATCACTGGGCATGGATTTTGTCCAATAGAGTTAATCTCAACAAGATTAAAAGAAAGACTACAGTTTTTTGAATATTGTATTGGTGAAAGCATGATCAGCTTGGACTGAAGGGGACAGAAAAGGTTCACCATTAAACAAAACAAAATACCACAAAATATTCAGAACCTCGGAACTTCTATTGGCAGGATATAATGTGGTAAGTCTACTTAGCTACAGATGTGGGACGTATCTTATGTGAATGGAGGGGTAACACAGAGGGCTGAATCAAGGCCCCAGAGAATGGAGCCAAGATCGCAGAATGAATCCCAAGGAGCAGTACTGGATTTTAATGAAGTGGCTGGCAATATACGCCAACTGAGTTTCATAATTGGTTACGAACTAGTGACTGCTATGTGTTACTTTTTCTCACATTTTGAATAGTACTGTCTATTGCAATTCTCCTACCCTTCGATCACCATATTATATTAGTTGGGTTGGGGGCAGATACGTGTATCTTTAGTTGGTGAGTCTTTAAAATGAAAGGAATTATACTCAATGACTATACTTGAGGATCTGCACTACGGGAGCCTCATCCACATATGGGTGGTATCTGATTTAAATGACAAGGCTCTTACACTTTGGTGGCATAATGGGATGAGAGTTCAGGTAAATTGGAGGGGGGATAAGTGTATTTTTCATGTTGGGGGAAATAAATAATGTGTGACCAGAGGCCAGACTCTGGTAAAATGTAGATGGACACAAAGTTTTTGGTAGACTTCCCATTGATATGTAAGAATTAATTTCCCTCCAATTTATACTAACCTGGACTTAGCGACTTGCCTGATCAAGAGTGTTGAGCAAATAAGGATCTGAGACTTTCAAACCTAGGTGCTAAGAGAGCTTGCTGCTTCTACCAACAATCTTTCTGAGATTCCTGAAATACCATATAAAAAGTCTTACCAAGCTTAGATCACTTATGCAACAGGGACTCATGGAGGTGCTCTGGTTGATCAGATGAAGCCAGTCTTCTAGGAACACTGACAAGGCACCAGACATGTGAAGTAGATGTCTTGAATCCTCTGAACCAGACCATTTGTAAACTGGATACAACTGGATATCAAACTGCATGCAAACCATCATCTATGCAACATATGCAACAGATAGAATAAAATTGTTAACTTTTATTGTTTTAAGCTGCTGAGTTTTGTGGGACTTTGTATTTCAGCAAAACTGGCATGAAGGTTATTTATAGTCTATTTTCCCATTCATTAGGAAAATCTATATATTTTTGACACCTAGATATCCTTATGTTCCATTATAGGGTGATGCTCTGGACTACATTGGGCGAGTTACCTAATATATACTCTATGTTCCATATCATCTTTCTGAATCTTGAAAAGACTTCACTCCAAAACTCATTTGGACCCAGGAGTTTTAGATAAGGAATTTTGGACATGTATTATTTTCATCATGTTGAACTTTAATTTATCCTATGTCTGAAAATAGAAATGGGCTGCTTTGCAGGGCCTATAAAAATTTAAGAATAGAAAAAAAGGGTATATAGTACTCAGAAGTTTCCCTTATCTTCACCAAAGACTCTGTTCAACCAGCTGATTGGGAATCCACTCATTTATGGCTTCCGCCTCCTCAGGTAACTTTATAGCATAGTTTCATCTCATCTATCCAGAACAAGTGCCCTATTTCTTTCTTACACAAACTACGTATTTTTTTTTTCCTCACTGGTAAACCTCCTCAATTCCATCTTCGTATTTCACATGCCACTTAAGAACCCAGCTCCTAAAGGCATAAAGAGGGTTAATGATTTCGATTATTACCGATTGTAACCCAAAATGATTAATTTGGGGTGAGGAATCAAGAAAGCCTGACTTTCCCCTAAATAAAACATTGAAGCTCTCTACAGCTTTGAATCAAATCAGTATGATTTTCTTGGGTCAATTGTTGAAGTCATCTTGGGATTTCACTTCTGGCTCTACTTCAACTTTTCTTCGCATTATAATATCTCTTTGTTTTTCTCACAAATGCAGAAGTTTCTTTTTTATTATCTAATAAAAATAAATACAATAAAAGTGTTCATTAAAGTAAATACACTAATAAGAGAAATAAATACAAATACATTTTCTTATATATTATAATTGTTTGATTTGAATGGATATTGGAAAATACAAAAATTATGCAATTATATACATAATTTTAACCTTATACCAATTCATAGTAATGATTTTAAAAGTAAATATTAGAAAGGGGCATAATATTTTCAACACTTCTTAATGACTATTCATGGTTTATTCATAAAGGGGATTATTTTCATAAACTAAATTGAAACAAATTATCAATTTTCCCAAAGGTTTCTATTAATTTGTGTATGTCAGTTCTCTTTTAAAATAGCTATTGTATGAGAGTCCAAATTGCTAAAGGACCACTTATCTGACCCTCAGAGCCCAGTGGATGAATCTGCAATTTGAACACTTATGAAAATGACTTTCCCTGGCTTTCTAAAACGTGTCTCTCTCTTAGTTATTAAATTGGTCTTAAGATTCAGTGAGTTCCAACTGCCTCAAATTTTATCATGATTAAATTCATCCTGATTATATTTGCTGCCTCTATGTGACATCTACAAAATGTAGCTGATGAGATTTATGATGAAAACATCCACCATGGTTTACTGTCTTTTGGCAGACCATGCTTTCTTAGGGAACATTCAGATTAAGTGAAAGTTCTAGACAGTGGTCTCAAATATATTTTTCTGAATTGTCTACTCACTTTTACTGCACTTAACTTCTTTGACCACAGTGAACAAAATCAATTTTTCTTATAAATGACAACTCTTTGCTTACTTAAGACAGCTTCCACAAATACCCTCTGAGTCATTTCAGGACATTTTTCTCTCTTTTGAACATGTTCCAATATGGCTATCATTATAAGAGTAGGGCTTATCCCTAAGAATTACCATCCACTAAAGGAAGCTGCCTCACCCAAAATGTACACTCTTTCCCCAAGAGAGCCTCCTGCCATGACTACAGATGTAGGCATAGAGGCCACTCCCTGGCCTAAATGGAGAGCATCTCTACAGGGTGGTCTCAGCTCTAGCGTGCCACAGGGGATGGGCTGAGGTCCTGCTGCAAGTGCATCATGGTGCACCTTCTCTCTCTGTTTGTTTCTGCTCCCTTCACTTCTATACAGATACTAACCTAGGGAGCACACCCCAATAAACACTGCTTGCATATCTCCATCTTTGTCCTTGGGGAACACAACCTAACACACCCTTCATCCTGTTCTGTCATAGCAAGGTTCACAGTCCCTAGAAACTTGGGTTCTGACACAGATGGTGGACGTCACTCTCCTCCCATCACTGCACCTGCACTTAGTCACATGATGCAGTTACTCCTACAGCTGAAGACATGGGAATAAAAATACAGGTGACTATAAATGGAACTTTACATACCACCAAAGAGTGTGCGGTTACGTTGAGAGCACACACAAAAAATGCATGTTTCCATAATGTTCTAGAGATTCAGAGAGTCCCTTGAGGCCAGTGTCGTTGGTACTGATACTCATTATAATCCATTAAAAAATGAATGGACATCTTTGGTCCATCCATGTGCAAAAGAGGCCACTCTTCATGGTAGGAGGTTTTAGAAACACCTGAGGTATTTCAAACAAATTTAGCGGTACTTTAAACCAATCAAGCTCACACTCTGTCTCTCTCTCTTTCTCTCTATCTCTCTCTCTCTCTCACACACACACACGCACATGTACGCATGGCACACGGACACAGAGCCCTAAACCTTCACAAGTGTTGTTCCATTCTGCCTCTCCTCCTTTTCCTAACATTCTTTACCATACTAATTAGTACTTCGTTCTTCTGATCCAATTTTGTACATTTCTTTCCCTGGAACCTTTCCTGATACTCCAAGATGGGATTGGATTTTTTTGTCTTTGTGCTCCTGTAGAGCCCCAGATTTATATTTCACTGGGACTAATCATAGCACACAACAACAGCAACAATAACAAACACTAACCTAGCATTTATTATGTGTCAATTACTGCTCTGAGCATTTTACATGTGTCACCTCAAAGGTCCTTCCTCTGTCTATCAGCCTCATCTTACAGGTGTGAAAAGTGAGGCACAGAGTTTCAGTGAATTACTATAGAGATTTACAGAATATTTAGCTATAGCCAGGCATAGCTTGCCACCTAACATCAGGAATGTGATCAGAAAAAAATGTGCCGTTAGACAATTTTTAATTTTGTGAACATCACAGAGTGTACTTACATACACCTATCTGGTATAGCCTATTGCCTATAGGATACAAACCCATACTGCATGTTACCGTACTAAATACTATACTAAATATTTAGTACAGTACTAAATACTATACTAAATATTTAGTACAGTACTAAATACTATACTAAATATTTAGTACAGTACTAAATACTGTACTAAATACAACTGTAACACAATAGTAGATATTTAGTACAGTATTAAATACAACTGTAATACAATAGGAGATATTTGTGAATCTAAAGATATATAAACATAGGAAAGGTACAGTAAAAATACACTATATAAGATTAAAAAAAAGGATGAGTTCATGTCCTTTGTAGGGACATGGATGAAATTGGAAATCATCATTCTCAGTAAACTACCGCAAGGACAAAAAACCAAACACCTCATGTTCTCACTCATAGATGGGAATTGAACAATGAGAACACATGGACACAGGAAGGGGAATATCACACTCTGGGGACTGTTGTGGGGTGGGGGGAGGGGGGAGGGATAGCATTAGGAGATATACCTAATGCTAAATGACGAGTTAATGGGTGCAGCACACCAGCATGGCACATGTATACATATGTAACTAATCTACACATTGTGCACATGTACCCTAAAACTTAAAGTATAATAATAATAAAAAAATTTAAAAAAGAATGAGAAAAAAAGAGTATAGATTAAAAAAGCTAAAAAAAAAAAAAAAAAGATAAAAAAGGTATACCTGGATAGGGTACTTACCATGAATGCGGCTTACAGAACTGGAAGTTGCTCTGGGTGAGTCAGTGAATGGTGAAGTCCTAGGACACTGCTATAGATTACCACAGACTTTATAAACCCTGAACACTTAGGCTACACTACATTTATTCTTTAAATTATTTCCTCAATAGTAAATTAACCTTAGCTACTGTAACTGTTTTTACTTCATAAACTTTTTTTATCTTTTCAACTCGTTCATAATAACATTTCACTCAAAACACAAACACATTGTACAGCTGAACAAAAATATTTTATTTCTTTATATACTTACTATATAAGTTTTTTATTTTACAATATATGTATTTACTAAAAATATTTCTTAGAATCTTAAAATCTAAGACAAACACACTAGCCTAGGTCTATGCAGGGTCAAGATCATACATATCACTGTCTTCCACCTCCACACCTTGTTCCACTGGAAGTCTCTCAGGGTCAGTGACATGAATGGAGCTGCTATCTCCTAGGATAATAATACCTTCTCCTGAAGGACCTGCCTGAGGCTGTTTTACAGTTAACTTTTTTTAATAAGTAGGCGTACACTTTAACTAACAATAAAATTATGGTATAGTAAATACATAAATCAGTAACATAGTTGTTTATTATCATTACTAAGTATTATATATTATATATGATTTTACACACTGAATTTTCTATGACTGGCAGTGCAAGCTTATTTGCATCAGCATCACCACAAACATGTGAGTAATGCTTTGTGTTAGACATTAAGGTAACCACAATGTCACTAGGTGTTAGGAATCTTTCAACCCCATTGTAATCTTATGGGGCCACTGTCCTTTATGTGGTCTGTCATTGACTGGAAAGGTCATTACATGGTGCACAATTGTATTGACATGTGGGCTTCACCTGATTATCTAAATCCCCAGCAGGCAAGATATCTGCCTTAAAGAAGGCCAGTTCCTAGCACAGGGACTGGAATTATATTTGAAAAAAAAAGTTGAATGAGCGATTTAGACAATAGTGGGATTTAAACGCTGGCTCCAACTCTACCTGGCTGCTTGCCCAGGCAATGGGTGATAGATTCCCTGGAGGTTCACTATGGCACCCCTACTGATGAGAGGGCTCTGCCATCACCCTGGGAACTGCAGAGTGTGTTTTCGTGTTTCAGTGAATGGGATATTAAATTGACCTTCCCTCTACCATGGGCACACATCAGACAGTTACCAATGAGTTTTAGAAAAGTTGTCCCATAGAATTATGTCAGGGATACTACTAACAGGTAGCTATCATGTATAGGTTTATGATGCACAGACAAAACCTCTTTGAATCCTCAACACAGTATTTTGAGGTACACAGCATTCATATGATGCATATTTTGCAAATAAGGAAAGCAAAACTTAGAGTAGTAAGATACCCGGCCAAACTAACAACTCTAGGCAGTGATGGGTTTCTGTGAATTATTGGGGTCTTTTCTTCATATATTGTATGAGTTTCCTATGGCCTCTATAGCAAATCATCACAAACTTAATGATTAAAACAACGCAAGTTTATTATCTCACCATTCTTGTGGTCAGGAGTCTGAATTCTGTTCCACTGGGCTAAGGTCAAGGTAGTTGGCAAGTTTTATAGCCTCAATCGTTTCTTCTGTCTTTTGATGCCTCATTCATATCTTTAGTGTATGGATAAATCACTGAAATAAAAGATAGGTGCTTAGTTTTAACACATGGATTGTTTTATCATGAGATTACCCATAGATACACATTTCTCTTTTGTGTCTTCATAATGAATTTCATAGCCACAAAAGAGTACAACATATTGGAAATAAATGCATCCCCAGTATTCACAGAGGTTAATGGATTGTCCCAAGGTCACATTCAGTGACAGGAAATCAACTGCAATGTGATTGATTGGTATCCCAGTGCATTTTTATTTTTCACTTGTACTTTAAAATTCAAATGGAGTATCTTAGCCCTTTCTTGATTAATTACCAGAAAGGCACAGTACACAACCAAACAAAAAAGAACAAATGATAGATATAAAGTTCTTTTTAAGTCTACAGGTCCTCCAGTAAAATGAAATCTTCTTAAATGAAGGCAGTTTGTTTCAATTATTCCACATTCCCAGCACCTAGTACAGGTCCTGGCACATTGGAGGTATTCCATAAACATTTACTAAGAGAATAAACATTTTCTATTTGAGTTCACAGAGCCTGTTTCAAGAAAATGTTAGCATAGACATCTCAAAAGTCTTAAGAATTTACTCAAATGGAGGTGCAAATAAATCAGCAGTTGGATGTAGCTATCATAGAATAAAAGCTATTTTGTGTTCAAACAATAGAAAAAGCACGGGTCTCAAAATGAGATGATCGTTTCACTCTACACTGCATTGTTTGCAGCACAATAAGCCTCTGGTGTTAGAGAGTCAATAAGTATTATTGAGCATTTACTGCACGCAAGGGCATATGCTAAGTCCTGGAAATACATAGGTAAACAATAGAAAACAATCCAAGACCTCATGGTGCATTATGTTAGTGGGAGTTTAAACTTTTATGTCAGAAAATAAGTTGCATAAAATAAAACTGCTTATATAATTGACAAATATATTTTCACTGAAAAGATTCAAATACAACCAAATTATCAACACTATCTACTGATGTAACCCCTTTTAAAAGATAACCTCTCTTCATGGTTTGATATGCAAGTAATTAGTTATTTAAATAAAAGTGTACACATTGCTGTGGAGAAGAAATACCAGGTGATTTGAACATCCAAGCATAATATTTTACCTAAATCATGAGGTTGTATTTGAGGTCATGGGTGGAGTTAGCTGGAAGAAAAGACAGGGAAGACCATTATAAGTAGAGGATAGGATACTGAGACATTTTTAATACATTAAGAAAAAATAATGTCTGAGACATCGTTAAAAAAATTGTTAGATGGTAGCAGAAAGACAAAAGTAGATATTAGACTAAGGTGAGATTAAAAAGAAAATATTTCAGGTCCTGTAGGAATATCATGGCTATTATTTATTCTTCAAGGTACAAATACTCCTGGAGTTTAGTAAACTAGGGCATATTCATATAAGGGCATAAGGGTGTATGAAGGACATATAATAAATCATGTCATATAATGAAGAGGTAAAGACTCCGAGTATGTTCGATCTGAATAAAAAAAGACTAGAAAATTATAATCGATTTCATACTTTGCATTTCTCTAGCTACTTGAGGTTGAGCTTTCTTTCTTATATTTTTACACAATTTACATTTATTTCAGTGTTTTCTCTGTTCACATCCTTTCTCATTTTTATCTTGACTTCTTTGCCTTCTTCATATCAATGTAGCAAGTAATTATTATTAAAATATTATTTTTTTAAATTTTATGTGAGGCAAATATTTTCTACAATCCATAATTTGTGTTTTGACTTTATATTATTTTTAGCTGTGCATTCATAAATGTGGGGATGATGTCTTTGTAATCAAATATATCAGTTTTCTCCCTTATGACTTTTGGGTGCCCTGTCTTATATTGGAAGACATATGTATGTTTCTAAATTTTCTTCTATCTTTTCTCCTATATTCTACATCAAGGGTGTGAGTGTTAACTGGGAGCAAAAGGGTAAGAGAGACCAACCTTCTTTCACTGACCTCAGAGCTTCCATCCCACCCCAAGGAAAATGAAGTCCAACGTCTGTTCTAGTCCCTGAATGTTCAAGTAGAATCTTCTTCTCTGATGAAAATTTCGATCTTAGCCAGTCTTTTGTCCTTAATGTTGTGTTATTGCAAGAGTGTTTTTGGAAGAAAGCTAAAAAAAAGTGCTTACAAATTATCCATAAACACATATTTTATCTTTCGAATATAGCTAATGGTGCACTAAGAGGTATCAATATATGTTCAACTGCAACGAATATTGATGCCTTTTGTTTAAAGGGTGTGTCTATGTAATTTTTGATTTCTTAAATTTTTACCAGAGCCATTTGAACCATTTCTACCATTCATGACACATATTTAATAAATTGGTTTAAGAGGAAAATTATGGAAAAAAAACAGAAAAAAATGTTAATTACTCCTTTCATTTGTTAAGAATAATGTCAGTTCCTTCTAAGAATTTTATAACTTGATACTCCATTGCAGGACATAAATCTGATTCCTCAGAATGAGTTGTTTTTCCTTCCTCAAGCAGAATTTCTTAGGCCCACATCTGGAATTTTAATACAATACCTTACTGTTGCATTATTTTTGTGTTCGTATGAGATGTTAATTTAATGGAGCAGTATCATCATAAATATATAAAGACAAATAAACCACTGCTGTATTATTTATTTGATTATGGTAAGAACACATAATATGAATTCTACCCTACTAACAATTTAAAAAAATTTTAATTGTCATGTAATTATACATATTTATGGGGTATAATTTAACAATTTGATACTTGCATATGTTGTACAATGATCAAATCAGGGTAGTTAGTATATCCATTGCCTCAAGTATTTATCGCTTGTTTGTGGTGAGAGCACTCAAAAGCCTCTCCTCTGGCCATTTTGTAATGCACAATACCTTACTGTTAAGCATAGTCACTGTTCTGTGAAATACAGCCCCAGACCTTATTCCTGTCATCTTATTGCAACTTTGGACCTGTTGACCCACCTCCTCTTTTCCCCCTCCTTTTCCCAGTCTCTGGTGATGACTGTTATACTCTCTATAGACATGATATCAATTTTCTTTATTTTCTAGCTTCCACATATGGTATTTTTCTTTATGTGTTTGGCTTATTTCATGTAACTTTGTGACTTCCAGGTTCATCCATGTTGTTACAAATGACAGGATTTCATACTTTTTATGGCTAAATAGTATTCCATTGTATATGTATGCATCTATATAAACACATAATCCACATTTTATTTAGCCATTCATTATTGGGCACTTAGGTTGAGTCTGTATTTTGGCTTTTGCAAACAGTGCTGAAATAAACATGGGAAGGCACATATGTCTTTGACATAGTTCATTTACTTTAGATATACACCCATTAGTGGGAATTGCTGGATCTTTTTCTGTTTTCAATTTTTTAAGAAACATCTATATTGTCTGTACTAATTTTCAAATCCACCAACAGTATACCAATGTTCCTTTTTCTCCATCCTCACCAAGACTTGCTTTATTGGGTATTTTGGATAATAGCAGTTCTAGTATAAGTGAAGTATCTTATTGTGGTTTTGATTTCCATGTCCATGATAATCAGCAATTTTGAGCATGTTTTTCATATACCTGCTAGCTATTTGTGTGACTTCTTTTGAGAAATGTCTAATAAGCTATTTTGCCCATTTTTAAATCAGATTTCCTGGGGTTTTCTGTTGAGTTGTGTATATTTTTTGATATATTCTGGATATTAACTCCTTTGTTAGGTGTATAGTTTGCAAACATTTTCCCCTATTCTACAGGTTGCCTCTTTCTTCTGTTATCAACGTCCTTCGCTGTGAAAAAGTTCTTTAGTTGGATGTAATCCTATTTGTCTATTTTTTGTCTTGTTGCTTTTGCTTTTGAGGTCCTTATTTTTTTGAAAAAAAATCCTTGCCCAGCTCAATGTTGTGAAGTGTTTTGCCTGTTTTCTTCTAGTAGTTTCATAGTTTTGGGGTCTACACTTAAGTCTTTAATCCCTTTTGAGTTGATTTTTTAATATGGTGAGAGATGGATATCTAATCTCATACTTTTGAATGTGGATATTCAATTTTCCTGGCACCATTTATTGAAGAAACTGTCTTTCCTCAATGTGTATTCTTGGCACCTTTATCATTTACAATATAGTATCGTTACCTATAAGCATGTTGTATAGCAGATCTCTAGGGCTTTTAAATCTTGCTTACCTGGAATGTTATACCTGTTAAATAATAACTTCCGAACTCCTTGCAACTCCTGCCTCATGCTTCCCTTAGCCTCTGGCAACCACTATTCTACTTTTAGCTTCTATAAATTTGACTGGTTTTAATGCCTCATATATGTGGAATCATGCAGTATTTGTTCTTCTATAACTGGCTCATTTGATTTAGCATAATGTCCTCAAGTTTCATCCATAGTGTCAAAAATAGAAAGATTTTCTGGAAGACTTTTAAGTAAAGACTATCCAATGTATATTCTGTCATAAAGTAGAGGAAAAGGGCCAAAGATCACTGCTTTCTTTCCCTGGCATAGAAGGACAAGATATTTCTACATTATCTGTGGTCTTATGATTTGTCAGTTCAGTCAATAACCAGAAGAATAGAGAGACCAGTGAAAAATTACTACCTCTCTGAAACTCAGCTTACTCATCTGAAAAAAAGGAATGATAAGAAAACATCTCCAGGTACTTCTTAGATTTGACCTTGAGTCTCATCAGCTGCTATGAGATGTTAAAACAAGCAAACAAAAAAACTAAAAACGACGACAGGAGGAAAGTAGTGTTTCTGTTTGACATTTGGCAGTCTCCACAGCATCTTGAGCTGAGCTTCACCAGTAACTAAAAATGCTATTTTTTCATGTCTTATTTGGGATCAGGTAAATATTAGCTATGAAAATACTTTATAAATAAAATAAAAGTTCTATCCAGTAGTTGAACTTTTTTTATTGAAAGTAAAAACAAACAGCATTGGCTAAATGCAGTTAAGAAAAGAGAGAAACATGCATTGAAACAAGCAAAAGCAAGGGTGTGTAAAACAAAATAAAATTATTGGCAGGCTCCTGAAAATTTTAAAAAATATTTGACGAATTATATAACCTTGAGAAGGCCATTAGAAGCAAGAATTTCTGTAGTACACTATTGCTAACATGATACAGCAACAAGGCAAGTGATACAATTAAAATTCCACATTCTAAGGAGATAGAATCTGAATGGCCTAACTTGGATCAGGTGTCCTCCCTGGGTCTGTCAGATTTGGCAATTGTAGTGACATGGTGACTTGTCACTAGCACTGGTGGCCTGGATCTGCAAGGAGGCCCCAGTGTCCACAAGGTAAAGTGAAGTGGGACAGCAGCTCTACCTGATACACATAATAAAATTTATTGTTTCTTAGCAAAAACCATTCTGGAAATATATTTTATATATATATATAAAACATTATATATATACATATATTATATATAATTATATATATAACATATATATAATTATATATATAACATATATTATATATAATTATATATATATTATATATATATATATAAATTGAGTAGCTAAATACATGAGAAAAAAAGAGCACTCTTGGACATTTCTGCACTAGTCAGATTACTCTGTTGAAGCCCGAAGATGGCCTTACCCTCAGGTTTTGTATCTAAATATCTCATACAGACTAGGAAAAATCTATTAGATCATCATATATAGTACTTGAAAACAAATAGTATGATAAACATTCAGGTGATATGTAGTAAACAACAACAACACCACAATATCTTTATCCTCTTAGAAATTAAAATTCAATGGAAATTTAAAATCTTGGAAATTAAAATCTAATAAAAAGGCAATGGAAATCCAGTGCAAAAGTCAAAGGCCATGGAGTTGAGATTTTGGTTTATCTATGTCTATACGTGTGTGTGTGTGTGTGTGTGTGTGTGTAGAGAGAGAGAGAGAAAGAGAGACATAGATATATCAAATATACCTACACCTATATATATAATATAGGCAGATTATAATAAAGTTTTCCAAAAATTTTATTAAAATGTTAATCAGTGCACTGAAACATTAATGAGCTAATAATAACCACAAACACCTGATTTAAAAGACTAATTATTTGGAGGATCTAGAGAAGTTTCAGCTTACTTCATGGCAGACGGAATTTTAGTGGTGTACCTGACCAGCAGAACTACAAAAGGAATAAACCTGTGATCCTGGAATTAGAATCCTAGGACCTGTCCACTCTGTCCACTTTTTCACTCCAATGCAAACTCTGCAGCATCCAGAAAAATAAGAAGCTGCTAGTTTTAACATGAGAATTTTATTGTTTCAGAAAAGTTATAAGGCTTCTTCCACTTCTCTCTCCTTGCATTACATATTCTATACCTACATAGATAGCCAAGGATTGCCATTCATTATAATCATACATTGATAGTGCAGCAGGCAGTATTTGTTCCAATCCATGTTTCCTTGTCCTATCTTTGAATGAGCTCACCTGCAGTTCTAGTGGATAGTTATCAGCTAGGTGACCGTGTCTCTGTCTCTCTACTTTGCTTCAATGTTTGCTTTGGCCATACAGGCTTGGTCTGACCTGCAAGTCCAACTCAAAACTGTAAGAGAGCTAAAGCTGCCGGTGTCAATGTTTACCACCAGGAGGATGGGAGTCAATGGATAAATGACCTCAGACTCCCCAGGCTTGGCTAGAAAAGCTTGATTGTTTCTCAGAGAGTCCCTTGTGGTTTTGAGTTCCAGTTGTTTAGAATGGTAAGCCACTCACCAATATACTCTATTGTATTTTCTCTTCTCCTACTTCACTTTCCCACTCCCTATCTGGAATCATCTCTCAAATAACCTACCTGCTTCCAAGTTGTTGTATCATGGTCTCATCTAAGACAGACATACAGATTGTGATGAGAGAGAGAGAGAAATGGAGAGATGAGAATTGTCTGTAAAATGGGGAGAAGTGCCAAGTTCCTATAATATCGTTCTAGATAACATGCAATAGGTAGTGTTTAAGATGAGGTAAACACTATTTGCAAGCTTTCTGAGAAATGCAATTTTTATGTCCTTGGGCTCAGAATGCCATTTATAAGGACAAAATGTTACTCGCACTAGAATTTGGTATACTGAATTGCATAAGGAAAGATCTGAGTATTAGCAGATTAGAGACCCAGAACAGGACCTGTCCCAGAGTAATTATATGATTTATGAAATATGAACACTTAAATAAAAGAATGAGAAGTAAAATGAGATGAATTTTTTTTTTTACTTAAAACAAATGCACTTTTTGATGCTGAGTTTCTTGGATGGGTGGTGCATAATATCCCCATTAGGATTGATGAATGTAGCTGTTTCCATTGATGACAATTATGCGTCTATACATATACTTACTTCTCAGAGAAAAAAGTCTACTCATAGTAATACATTTTTTAAAAATACATTAAAAGTCAGAAAATGGCAAGAGGCAGATGTTCCGAACTCTTGGGACCAAGACTAGCAGGGATAAGAAATTCCTGGATCAACACTGCAATAAATGAAATTCTACATGATGCCACACTCTAGGGAGACATTAACGACCTCTCGCATCTGTTGGATATCAAAGCTATTGATCAGTAGAGACTTGCCTAGAGGGATTTCAACTATGAAAAATACTCTGCAATGAACAAGTGTTTGTAGAAGAGACTCTTAATGGGATTGGAATACAGTATAAATTTCCCATGCATATAGGACCTAGTGATGGCAAAATAATTTATTGATGTTCATTACTATAAACATGTGCACCTTCCCCAAGCTTTGCTAGAATTCTTATACATATCTAATCCAGCTACTTATGGAATTCTAGGATTTGCAAGCATGTAGAAATAGCTAAAATGAGGATAGATGGATGTATAATAATAATCTTAAGAAAATTATAACTTTGGAAACCTCTAATAGTAAATTGAAACAAAATAAAAATAAGCCTCATTGTCGTTGACATATGGACATTCTTTTTTTTTTTTTTTGTCTCAAGAAGGGACGATTTGGATTTCCTTTAAGATTTATACTGCTATTGTTTGATACATTTAATAGATGTCTTTCTATTAGTATAAATATATATTTCTTTCTACTTGACCAAGTAGAAAGGAATAGACTCAGGAAAATATAAGAAAATAATCGTTCCTTGAAAAGTAGAAACTGAACCAAAAATAAAGACAGATTGACACCAGTGATCATACACAGCATGCTGGTAAAAAGATCAGCTGATACTGTGCACCAAAATAATGATTTTAAATGATGGATGAGCCAAAAATCCCATGAGGTGAGATAATTGCTCAGATAGTGTCTTTTATCTTCGAGGACATGAAATCTCTAGATTGTTGTATTAATGAAAGGCATTATAACCAGACACAATTATGTCAGTAATAAATTGAAAGAGAAAATTTTAAGAGCTAAACATAATGGGCTTAGAGGCAGAGAGGGGAAGAAGAAAGAGAAGTATTTTCCCTTATATATTATATCTCAGTACACCATTAAATCTTTGCAAATCTTGGCTTTTTGAGGACTTCTTTACGAAAAAAACACAAGACTCTTCATTAAATAAAAACACTATTTCCTTACTTCTGTTTATTGATAATTAATAGGTCTGGTTTTATTTTTTTTTTATTATACTTTAAGTTTTAGGGTACATGTGCACAACGTGCAGGTTTGTTACATACGTATACATGTGCCATGTTGGTGTGCTGCACCCATTAACTCGTCATTTACATTAGGTATATCTCCTCATGCTATCCCTCCCCCCTCCCCCCACCCCACAACAAGCCCCAGTGTGTGATGTTCCCCTTCCTGTGTCCATGAGTTCTCATTGTTCAATTCCCACCTATGAGTGAGAACATGCGGTGTTTGATTTTTTGTCCTTGGGATAGTTTGCTGAGAATGATGGTTTCCAGCTTCATCTGTCCCTACAAAGGACAAGAACTCATCCTTTTTATGACTGCATAGTATTCCATGGTGTATATGTGCCACATTTTCTTAATCCAGTCTATCATTGATGGACATTTGGGTTGGTTCCAAGTCTTTGCTATTGTGAATAGTGCCGCAATAAACATATGTGTGCATGTGTCTTTATAGCAGCATGTTTTATAATCCTTTGGGTATATACCCAGTAATGGGATGGCTGGGTCAAATGGTATTTCTAGTTCTAGATCCTTGAGGAATCACCACACTGACTTCCACAATGGTTGAACTAGTTTACAGTCCCACCAACAGTGTAAAAGTGTTCCTATTTCTCCACATCCTCTCCAGCACCTGTTGTTTCCTGACTTTTCAATGATTGCCATTCTAACTGGTGTGAGATGGTATCTCATTGTGGTTTTGATTTGCATTTCTCTGATGGCCAGTGATGATGAGCATTTTTTCATGTGTCTTTTGGCTGCATAAATGTCTTCTTTTGAGAAGTGTCTGTTCATATCCTTCGCCCACTTTTTGATGGGGTTGTTTTTTTCTTGTAAATTTGTTTCTGTTCATTGTAGATTCTGGATATTAGCCCTTTGTCAGATGAGTAGATTGCAAAACGGTCTGGTTTTACATGAACAATTTTTACAGTGGGTTGTTTAGCTTAGAGAAAATAAAATTCAGGCAGCTAATTAGAACTATTTACATATTTAAAAGGACTGAACTTTAAAAAATAATTTGATACATTCTTTCTGGCTCCAGGCAGTAGATCATGCAAAGGTTGAGAATTCACTGAAAGATATAAAAATAAGATTAAAAAAAATTAACTCTCCCTGTCTATTTTTGATGTAAGGTAATACTAACCTGATAATATAAATTGGGGAATGCTTCTTTTATTTGTTTTCTGAAAGAATGTTTTTGTCATTGAATGTTAAATATAATTCACTTGTAAAATTGTCTGCTGTGCTAAGATTCTGGTTGCATATTTTATTTAAGTGAGTAATTGAATAATTTACCTAATGGCACCAATTACTTTAATTACCAAAGCATGATTTACACTTTTTTCCCTTTTTTTTTTTAGAATTTTGGTACACTACTTGATTAACTGTATGTCTAATTGTCTAGTTCATTTAAATTTTCAAATTTGTAGGCAGAAAGTTGTTTATTATATTTCTGTATCTTTCTAAATTTCTGTTTATCTGCATCAATACTAGATTTTATATTTCTCATTATGGTTATTGTGGTCTATTCATTTTTCCTTGATGTACCTTAACAGAGATTTTTCTATTCTTTTAATCATTTTGAAAACGTATATTTTGACTTTGTTGTTTTCTCTTTTACATCTTGGGTTTACATGTCATTAATTTAGGTTATTTGCTTCATTATTTTTCCTATTGTGTGCTTCAGTTTCAATTATTCCTTTCTTAATTAATATTTAAGTATTTTCTCATTTTCATTATAAGCATTTAGAGCCATAAATTTGCCTCAACTCTTCAAGTAAGCTGCATCTCACATGTTCTAATATGCAGCATTTTTTCCTACTTAATTATTTAAAAATTTATAAACGGTTATGAATTCACAAATAAGTTATTTGTGAAACATATAAATTATTTTAACAGCTTTTATAGGTATTTTGACAATAAATTGCAAACATTTAAAGTATACAATATAAGTTTTGACATATGTATACAGTCAGAAACCAGTCACCACAAGACAGTGAACATATCCGTCACACCAGAAACCTCCTTGCCTCCCTCTATGTGTCCTTCATTGCCAACCCCAACTCCAGGCAACCGGTGATCTTTCCATCACTATAGATTTGTTAGCATTGTATAGACATTTTTTAAATGGAATCATGCAAGTAGCTACCCTTTGTTGTCTGGTTACTTTTATTCAGAACAATTACTTTGAGATTTGACCTTAGATTGATAAGTAATATCTTATTGTTTGGGCATAACATGATTTGTTTATCCATTCATCTGTTGCCTAACATCTTTTTTTCCAGAATGTTTGCAATATTTTAAATTTCCACCTGCTCTGAATGAAAGTTCCTAAGGTGCGATGTACTTGTCAATACTTGATATGTTCAGTTGTTTTAATTTTACACATTCTAATCAGTGTGCAATGGTATTTGACTACAGATTTAATTTACATTTTCCTAATGACTAATGACGTTAAGCATATTTTAATGTGCTTATTTGTCTTCTAGATTTTTCACCAAGTGTCTATGTACATTTTTGCATATGTTTTCATCAGATTATTTTCTTATTATTGAACTTCAGTGTTCTTTTTAAGTCCTGGATCCCATCTATCATCAGATATACCCTTTGCAAATATTTTCTACCTGTCTGTGGCTTTTCTTTTCATTTTAATGATAGTTTCAAGAGCAGAAATTATTAACTTTCAAAAGGTAGTAGTGACACATATTGCTCGGAGGATGGTGGATGCTGGCTTGCGCCGTGTGGTTCCCAGCCACCTGTGTCCCCTCGTGTTTGGTTTCCTGTGTGACAACCAACTCTTGGAGATGGCCAAGAAGTTCGCCAAAGTGACAGGAACTACACAGCAGGATGCCAATGCCTTTTCCCTCTTGGACATCTACAGCTTCTGGCTCAAGTCCGTCAAAGCCCCAAAGCGAAAGTTACAGGCAAATGGACCAGTGACTAAGAAAGCTAAGAAGAAGACCTCATCCTGTGACAGCAGTGAGGACAGCAGTGAGAGGACGGGGACGCTCAAGGGCCCCCAGCTAAGAAGGCTGCTGTACCTGCCATGGGAGCCAGTCTGCCTCAACATCCTGGAAAGGCTGTGGCGAAAGCGTCAGAGCAGCAGCTGTGAATAATCTAGTGACAGTGAGGAGGAGGAGACACAAGGAAAAAGCCTGTCCAGATGGAGTCAAGCCCCAAGCCAAGGCAGCCAAAGCTCCTCCTAAGAAGGTCAAGAAGTCTGATTCTGATTCTGACTCAAGCTCTGAGGATGAGGCACACCACAGAACCAGAAGGCAAAGACTACATCTGTGGCAGCTAAACTTGGGCCAAAGCCATACCGGGTACTCCAGCTCCAGCAGCACCTAAAGTAGCCAATAGCAAAGCAGCCAGCAGCAGCAGCAGCAGCAGCAGGGGTGACTCAGAGAAGGGGAGGGCAGCAGCCATCCCCAAGAAGACTATACCCAAAAAGCAAGTCATGGCCAAGCTCCCAGTGAAAGCAGCTGCCAATCCTACCTAGTAGAGTTCCAGGAGTGAGGAATTCTCCAATGAGGAAGAAGGGGAGCAGAACCGTTCTAAAAAATACAAGCAAACAAACAAAAAACAAAACAAACAAACAAACAAAAAAACAGATCCCTACAGTTCAGTCCCCCGACCTCCTGCTCCTCAATCAAAGAAGTCTGTGGGAACCCAGACTCCCAAGAAAACTGCGAAGAAGAAACAGCCTGTGGAAAGCAGTGAAGACAGCACTGATGACTCTAACTCAAGTTCTGGGGAAGAGGAGAGACCCTGTCTACGGGAGTCATCTCTAAAGCAACAACCAAACAACCTCCACCAAAAAGAAAGCAGCAGAGATCTCTGCAGACACTTCTGACCCTGACAGCTCTGAGGATAATGGAGCTCCTTCCAAGCCAGCCTCAGAAAGAAGGTAAAGGCCGAGGGCAGCAGCAGTTCTTCCTCTGATGATTCCAGTGAGGATGAGGAAGAGAAGCCCAAGGGCAAGGGCTCTCCAAGTCCACACCCAAGGCCAATGGCAACTATGCACTGACTGCCCAGAATGGAAAAGCAGCTAAGAACAGTAAGGAGGAGGAAGAGAGTGAAAAGACAAGAAAAAGGCAGCGGTGGCAGTTTCCACATCAGGTTCAGAAAAGAAGCAGAAGCAGAATGAGGCTTCCAAGGAGGCAGAGACTCCTCAAGCCAAGAGCATAAAGCTTCAGACCCGTAACAGATTTCCATGAAGGAAGAAAGGAGAAAAAAAGTCATCATCCCCATCCCAAAGGGCCAGGGAGGAGGAGAGGGAGGTGGATTCAGGAGTGGCAGACAACTTGATGCCAAGGGAGGTGCAGATGGAGACTGAGAGAGCGAGCCAATCAGGTTTTGAAGTTCACCAAGGCAAATCCTTCTGGCACAAGAAAACCAAGAAGAAAGCAGGGAGGCTCAACCTCTGTCCAGGTCAATTTGGTTAAGTTTGGCAGAGAGTGACCTGGGGCCAGCTTTGGTGAAGCAGGAGTGATGATCAAACACCACTCACTTTCTCCAGTGGATCAGAGAGCCCTCAGCTCTATAGGTTGGGGGTCTTGATGAAGACGAAAGTTCAGAGTAGGTCCTAAGACATTACAATGGAATATCCCCTCTTGTCCTTTTCTATATTCCCAGTTTTGTACAGATTTTCTTTTGAGTGTAAAGTAGCAGGGACAAAATAAAGGGAATGTTATTTTTGAAGAAAAGTGATTTCTATTGTTGTCCCCTTCTTTCTTTTCTGTGAAAGTCCTCATACTGAGAAATTTGTATATTTTATATTAAATCATTCCCTATTGATTTTTGTTGTGATTTTCAAAGGTAGAGTCCCATGGATAAAAATCTTAGCTATGGGCCAAAATATAGTAAAGGGTCATATGTATGACGTGTTACAGTTAGAAGAAAAATTCTGCCTTTGTGAGTGCACATGTCCACACTGCATCCCTCTCTCCCTCAAAACCTTAGTGAGGGATATTAAAGAATGGTTAATCTATATGCAATGCCTATTAAACATGCACTATGTACTTCATCCTAATTCATTGGATCTGGGGCTGAAGATTGAGGCCAGCGTGGACCTAACTCACTTTTTGGAATAAAATTCACTGTTTTATTACAGGCAAAATTCTGATGTAGTGTGAATGCCTTGGGTCAGTCTGAATATATTTTTCTATAATTTAATCATTATTACATGATGTTTGCAATACGTGCTTTGCTTTTTAATTTGAAAGCAAACTTTTCTACTGCTGAAAGACATTTTTTGTCGACTTGACTATTGCTAATATTGAGTGCGGAGTTGACTGCATTCTCTCATTTTTACATTACAGAGAACAAAATCACATTAATTTGAAAAATACACATCACTTGGTATTTCTGTCTTGTCTCCAGAGGTGACACAGAATTGGTTTCATTAATTCCTACATGGTTGGGATCAAGAAAGTAAAAGAAAAAAAAACCTTTAAAACCTCAATTCTCTGTAGGAAGTAGGTTACATTAGGTGAATTTATAGGTAATCCATATATGTTCTAACAGGTTTAGAAAGAACCTTACAGAGCATATTACCTGATAAACTTGAGTGGAGTGGTTTTGGGAGAATAAACTAACAGGATTATTGTGTCTTGCACTTGGTACATGGGTGCAATTGACGTGCCCCCTTCAGAACCTGAACCGTTAGTAACAGTGGCAGTAACAACACAAAGCAGTGAGCAGAGATAGAGCTCTTAGGCCAAGCTGGACTGACCATATGGCTGTAGGAGGTGACTGACAAGCAGCAGTGCTTAGCCAGAGCAAGACTGGGAGGGAGGAGTCAACAAGCTTTCTGGAGGCTGAGGGGTTCCAGTGGTGGGAAAGTGTGCCCCAAGCTTTTATGGGTGAGTTACGGGTCTTAAGATTAGTCTCCTCTTGTATGGTTTCTGCGCCCACTAAATAACCTGATGATAACCTGGTTTTCCATGTGACTGCCTCTAGGAAGAAAATGTACTGTTCATGCTGACATAGGTATTTCAGTCTGCATGGTAGAAGTTCTACATCTTACTACAAAATAATAAACTGGCTGGTTTATAATGGATCTTAGGAGTTTTATTGTTGTGAGTCTAAACGCATTCTACCTCCTACCCAAACCAGAAAGACCTGGGTGGCAGGTAGAGGGCCGGGGGTCCAGACCTGTGAGTTCCCTGCAGAAGCTTCTTGGAAGCAGCTTACAGGCTTTTGGATACAGCTCGTCTCATCGTGCCTTTTCCAGGCTATCTTCCAGCCTGGGCATAGTCTAAATTGGGGGTTGGCCAAATGACCTATGGGTCAAATCCAGCTCATGGCCTGTTTTTATATTACCTAGGAGCTAAGAATGGTTTCTACATTTGTAAAGGTCTTTAAAAAGGAGACAATATGTGGCAGAGACCTTATCAATGGCCCACGAAGCCTAAAATATTTCGGATGTGGCCCTTTGCAGAAAAAGGGGCTCCTGGTGTAATTAGTGATCTGTAAAACACCAGCTGAGAATTACAATCATCTGGGGAACTTGAAAACACTGATAAGCAGGGGCCCGTTCTGAGATTTGTTGGTGCTCTCTGGTGGGTGCTGGGTGCTAAGATTTTTTAAAGTTCCCAGGTGATCCTAATGAACAGCTGGCGTTGAAAACCACCTATCTAAGATTATTTGAAAAGAAATTATTTGGTATTTCCCCCATTCATGCTTCCATTTTTCAGATGCGCTTGTTATAAATAATAGTATAAAATGAAACTTCGTCTCAGTGCCATTTCCTAAAACCTGTTTCTCCTTCCAGACAGTTCCTAGGTATGCACTATTATATGCATCCTCCCTTCCTTTTTGCTTGCACAAATGGGTTATATGTGCAGTGTTTTGCCACTTTTACAGGTCGTTTTACAGCAGAATACAGCAGCTCATTTTAAACGGCTCCACTGCGTGGTACTCCACTGTGTGGAAATAGCATAAGTTATTTAAACTAATACTTTACGGGCAGATGTGTAGGCTGTTTGAGTGTTTTGCTGTTACAAATAGTGTTACAGTGGATAGTTTTATATGAGAGACTGTCAGTGTGTATTTTTTGTAGGAAATATTTCTAAAAGTGATTCCTGGTTCAAAGGATATGTGCATTTAACATTTTGATCACTATTCCCCTCCAAAATTGTTGCACTAATGTATAATTCCAGCAATATTTTATGAAAGAGCCTCTTTGCTTGTCCTCTTGCCAACACTATTTACCAAATTGATCTTTGCTGCTTGGATACACAAAAATGCTCTCATTTCTATTTGTTTGTTTTTGTTTTAAATGAACCATAAAAAAATAAAGAAAAAGTAATCAACTTTTTTCTTCTGTGAACCATGCAGTTACAGTCATATCTAAGAAATATTTTACTAATACAAGGTTATAAGTATTTTCAACAATTTTTCTTCCAGGAGATTTATATTAATAATTTTGGATATTATATTTAGATATATGATTTATTTTTAATTAATTTCTGAGTATACTTTATAATGAATAGACTCAACTCCTTCATTTAAATAGAAACAACAACGTATGTGTGAGGGAGTTCAGCTTCCAGATTCACTGTGGTTAAACTACAGGACTGGGAGCTAGAATCAATGAATTCAGGCCTATCTTTACTACTTACCCTTTTTATTATTTTAGGACAGGGTCTTGCTCTGTCACCCAGGCTGGAGTGCAGTGGCGTAATCATAGCTCACTGAACTCTGAAGCTTCAACCTGCTAGGCTCAATCCATCCTCAAAATTCGTCCTCCTGAATAGTTGGGACTACAGGCACACACCATCACGGCTGGCTACTTTTTGTACTTTTTTGTAGAGACAGGGTTTCACCGTGTTGCCCAGGCTGGTCCAGCAATTCGCCTGCCTTGGCCTCCCAAAGTGCCGGGATTACAGATGTCCACCGCACCTGGCCTCTAATACTAAATGTAATAAGTGTGATCATCAGCAAGTCACCTGACACTTCTGAGCCTGTTACCTTATATCTAATGTAAGTGGGTGTGATTGAATGACTTCAAAGCTCCTTTTAAGTGCTGAGATTTTCTCTTAACAGTAGTTGATATTTTTACTCATTATTGGTCTCATCCAAAACAGACAGCCATAAGTTTCCCTGATGCTCCCTTTTTACTGTTTTACCTAGGTTAGCTTGGATCATCACTTTAATAGAATTGACCATTAAAATCTAGGCTGCCATATGGGATTATAAACTGGATGTTTTTCTTTTTTTTTTTTCTTTTTTTCTTTTTTGAGACAGAGTTTCACTCTTATTGTCCAGGCTGGAGTGCAATGGCGCAATCTCAGCTCACCACAACCTCTGCCTCCCAGGTTCAAGTGATTCTCTTACCTCAGCCTCCTGAGTAGCTGGGATTACAGGCATGAGCCACCATGCCTGGCTAATTTTGTATTTTTAGTAGAGACGGGGTTTCTCCATGTTGGTCAGGCTGGTCTCGAACTCCCGACCTCAGGTGATCCACCCGCCTCGGCCAACCAAAGTGCTGGGATTACAGGCGTGAGTCACTGCCCCTGGCCCCAGAATATTTTTCTTGATATGATGGTGAGATCTCTAGATTAAAAAATGCTTTATATTAAAAAATTTACATCCTGATAAAGTGCACCTTTCATTTATTTCCCAACTTAAATATTTCAAAGGAATTTGTGCTGTATCAGAAAAGGTTGCACAAAACAAAAGACTTGCAACAATTCAGTTGTTTAACCTTATGACAGGTTCAAAGAAGTGCTCACACAGCTGTGATGGGGTCCCACAGACAACATAGTCATGGCTGTACTACTACTCCTTTTCTTATCAATGAGGAAAATAGAGTAAGGGCTTGTAGAAAACAGCTTAAAGAAGATATTTGACTTTTCTGGATTGCAACATAAGGTCCTCATTTTGGTAGCTATATATATATTGTACATTTCCCCTAGTTTTAGGAAAGGAAGCTGCTTGTCTAAAATAGTGACAACTCGACCATATGTTGACAATTCCCATGGCCAGTGGAAAGTCACGGACTTCCTTTGTGTGATAGCAAGCTAGTGCTCATTAGATTCAAACTCAAGTGACAAATAGAAGCTGAAACTCAAAACACACACTTGGCTGTGAATCCAAGAACATGCATTTTCCACCGAGCCCTGCAATCATGGCAGCGAGAGCTTGGGGGTGTGCACAGTGGAAATACTAAGAGTTGAGAGCCCAGCAATCTGAACTGTGGTCCTAGGACCTACCATTGTGCATCCTAAGGCAATTCATGACAAGTGTTTGGCTCATAGTTTCTCCATTTGTAAGGAAAAAAAAGACTAAATAATATCTGAGAATATTAGAAATGATTTTGTAAAGCCAGTGGCAGAAAATTGATGCTTAAAAAAATTGCATCTATTGATTTATCAATGCTTTAGAGTAGCCAAAATTAATTTCAAAGGTGGAGCTTGACTCTGCCTTCAGATATGCTCTTGGCTCAAGTTTGTATGAGTGTCAGAACCTTCTGCTTCTTTTTTTTTTTTTTCCAAAGAAAATCTTGAATAGAGCTCTCTAATTCCCCAGTGCATGTAAACAATTCGCCTTACTCAAATGTTGTGGAGACAGATGAGTGCTATGTTAATCACGCTAAATAACCACTTACTATATTTTTACTAAGGGATACAACTTTTATCTCATGGCATCTCAGTTTCCACAGTTCAGATGAAACATAATGGTTATGCATGAATATTGCTGAGGGCTCCCACACACATATCTTATTCCAAATAGTCCAAAGTGTAAAACTTCCTGCCAAAACAAGTCAGATCAGCAGAGGATTAGAAAGTTGACTCATGTAGTTTTCCCCTTGTGTTGTATAATGCAAAACTATATTTGGTTTTTGTCACCTCCTTGACTCCAGGCACAGAGGTCCTAAAACTTTGGGGATTTCTGAGTGATAAGTATGTCTCTTGTTATTTGTACTGGATCCCTGTTTATTACACATGAGCTTATGCTAATGAGGTGACATAAAATGGGGCTTTATGGTCTTAGGGTGAGGCTGGTCAACAGAGAGATGAAGTGATTCTGGGTTGGAACATTCAGCCCCACCCACTAACCTCTTGGAAGATGAGTGGGGGGCTAGAGATTGAGATCTAAAACATTCTTAAAAAATTATATTTGGAGAGGCTCAGAATTGGCAAATACATCCATGTTCTGGGAGGGTGGTGCCCCCAGCTCCACAGGAGCAAAGCTCCTGAGCTCAGGCTCTCACCAAGCCTTGCCCAATGTACCTCCTCAACTGGCAGTGCATTTGTATCTTATACTAACCTGGTAACTGTAAGCAGAGTGCCATCCTGAATTATGTGAGCTGTGCTAACAAATCAGCCAAACTGAGGAGGGGGTTGCGAGAATTCCCAATTTATAGCTGGTCCGTGAGAAATATGGGTAGCTTCAGGGTTTGCGTTTGGCATCTAAAGTGGGGGCAGTCTTGTGGAACTGAGCCCTTAAAGCTGTGGAGCCTGATGCATACTCCAGGTAGCAGAATTGAATTAAATTGCTGGACACCCAGTAGGCATTTGGAGAATTGGTCATTGGTGTCAGAAAACAGCCCAACTTCCTATCCCCCTTTTCCATCAATATTGTTTATAAATGAACTGTACATTACGATCAAGTCATCATCTTTATGAAGGGGCCCAGGTCCTATGAGGGGCAGTCAAAAGAAGTGGGAATGTTTAGTATGAAGACTCAAAGACTAGGGTCTGAGTGGACGCTTGGCAACTACCTTCTAATAATGTAATGCTATTGTACAATATAGAGAATGATAATTTTTAAATGAGACTTACACAAAAATAGAAGATAAGACAGAATATGACAACTGAATAAGGAGTTTTCTATTGATTTAAAATGCCCAGAAATGGAATTATTTTCTCACTATAAATTTACTCATCTAAGTAATAACTCTTAAATGCTAAAAAGATTATACGCGTTGTCTTAATTCTTTTTTTTTTTTTTTTTTTTTTTGCTGTAAAGAAATGCTGTGTAATTATTACTATTTAAAAAACATTATTTGGCTCACCATTCTGGATGTCTGAATAGTGAAAGATTGGGCATCTGTTTCTGGTGAGGGCCTCAGGCTGCTTCCACTCCTGGCAGAAGACAAAGGGGACCAGGTGTGTGTAGATCATATAGCAGGAGAGGAGAAGAAAGGGAAAGAAAGAGAGAGAGAGATGAGGTGCCAGGATCTTTTTAATAACCTGCTATCTCTCTGGAATTAATAGAGTGAGAGCTTGTTCATCCCATGGTGTGGAGGAGAGGGGCATTAAGGGGCATTAATCTATTCATGGGGGATCCACCCACTGACCCAAATGCCTTCCATTGGGCCCCACATTTAACATTGGGAGCAGATTACACCATGAAGTTTGGAGAGGACCAATATCTAAAGCACAGCACATTACATTCAGAACTAAGTTCTCAATCAGCCTATAATCCTATAATTAGCATTAACAACAGTTGTTTTGCTTATTATTGGTTGTTTACGAAATACTTTCACATTATCCTTTCTTGCAGGATTCATAAAACTTGGTTGTTTTTGTGGCTTGTAGTGTAAAAATTCATTCCAGTGATTAAGTGAATTTTCCAAAGTAACAAAACTAGTCAGCAGTTAGTACAAATTCCCAAACCAACTTTTTGATGGAAAAATCTGGGTTATGTCAACTATATAAAATCTTTATCTGGTGGCTGAATTCACATGAGTTTTACAACTAATTCCACTATGATCACTTCTACAAAAGATGAAAATTACTAACTTCTCTACTACTAATAATAATTTTTAACAATATAACAATATGTACCATCTCTATCTATTATGACAGTCAACACTCATTCCATATTGCAAAGAGTTACTATGAGTGTGACTCAAAAGTAGTGCTTCAACTTCCCATGGACACTGAAAGCCTAAGGTGTTGAGCCCTATTGAGAACGTTCTAATCTCTGAAGAGTAGGACTGGAGAGCTTTGCTGTTTGTAGCCAACACTTTGTAGTTATGGAAACACGTGCTCCCTATAATTATCACAAATAACCTGCTATGGAAACATATATGATTCATTCTTTCTTGCTATATTGAAAAAACTCAAAGGAAGTGCTACATCCCCCAACTTGACCACCATGTTAAAGAGAGAAGGTTAAGAAGAAGAAAAATCAAACACCTTTCTGCAACTCCAAATGGAACCGTCCGTTTATTGGAGGCAAAGTCCAAGTTTAAAACATCTCAAATACAGATTACAGAAAAAAACAAGATATGGTCTATTTTAGATAGAAAACACATTTGTTGCCAAAGAATTATTAGAGAAAAGTGTATTTTGCCTTCAAGGATTATTTATTATACATGGTCACCCTGGTAGAGATTTGGGGAGAAAGGGAATCTTCACAAGTCTATAAAAATCTGCTTTGTTGGGTTTAGAATTTAGAGATAATTTTTACCCAAACCCTTGAGGATATGGACTACAGACATTTTATTTTGAGAACAATCCATGTATTGGCTGAATAAAATGCCTTCAAGTAATATCTTCCATGTTAAAAGAATATGATTGATTCAGAAAGGTGAAAAACCAAGTGGCAGGCCAACCTTTCAGTTTTCAACAGTTTCTGGCATTCTGTGAATGTTTTATAAAATGTTGTCAAGTCAATAAAAACAAATAGTAAATAAATTCAGTCATACAAGTTTTATCTTCATGGCACTCCAAGTGATTACACTAAGACATTAAGAGGCAAGAAGTACACTATTCCATAGTAAAGGGAATTTGCTTACAGAAAATAGAATGAGATGCAAAACATTCTATTAGTGATCACATGATTTCCTTAGATGTGATTTATCTGTTCATGTATTATGAAAGCCCAAGAGCAATATTTCATATTACTATGAATTATTTTTTAATTGAGCTATCATTGGCACACAACACAATAAACATATTTAAAGTGTGGAATTTGGTAGGCTTTGATATGCGATGATTTCCTGTGAAACCATTATCACCACCAAGATTATAAATGTAACTATCACCCCAAAAATGCTTCTTGTGCTCCACTGAAATCTCTCCCACAACTAGAGACCCCTGTCCAAAGTTTGATTTGCTTTCTGTCAGTATAGACAATTTTTAAATTTTCCAGAATTTTTAATAAATGGAATAATATAATATGATTTGTCTGGTTTATTTCACTTGACATTTTAAGATACAACCATGTTGAAGCAAGTATGAATAGTTCATTTATTTTAATTTCTGAGTAATATTTCATCATATAGACACATTACAGTTTGCTTATTTATTCTATTGTTGGATATTTGGGTCATTTTAGTTATTGCTGTACCAAATATAACTTCTTTGAATATGTATGTAAAATATCTTTACAATATACACATTAATTTCCACTGGGTAAATTCTTAGAAGTGAAATGGATGGATCATATATTAGTTATATGATGAAGTCTTTAAAAAACTGTCAAACTGTTCTTTAAGGTGGCTATGCAGTCATTCCATATCCTTGCCAATACCTCACATGGTTAGTTTTTGTTTTGTTTTGTATTATGTTATTTTGTTTTCAATTTTATACCTACTAATTGTTGTGTAGTGGTAAATCAATGCGACTTGTTTGCATTTTGCTAGTGACTGATGATGCGGATTCTCTTTCCATGTGCTTATTTGACATATGTACATCTTTTGTCACATATCAGTTCAAACTTTTCCCATTTTTATTGAGATGTTCTCTAATTACTGAGTTTTGAGATGAATTTATTATATATTCTTTATACACGTTCCTTATCAGATATATTTCCTACAAAAATGTTACCCTAATCTGTGGCTTGCTTTTCAATATCTTTAGAAGATCAGAAGTTCTTAATTTTGATAAAGTCCAAATTGTCATTTTTTTCTTGTATAAATTGTGCTTTTGCTGTTACACCAAAGAAATATTTGCATAACTCAAAGTCACACACATTTTCTCCTATGTTTTCTTCAAGAACTTTTATATTTTCAGATTTTACATTCATCACTATGAATCGGTATTTGTTAATTTTTGCATATGATGTGAAGCATAGATGAACAGTTTTTTATATGAATATTTAATTATTCTAGCACTATATTTTGAAAAGATTACCTTTTCTTATTGAATTGCTCTTGCACTTTTGAGGAAAATCAGTTGACCATACATGTATGGATCTATTTCTGGATTATCTATTTCGTCTTACTTGTTCATTTATCTTTTTAAAATTCCAATATCACAAAATCATCTTTATTTTAATTTTATGATGTCTTAAAATCAGATAGTGTAAGCCCTTCACCTATGTTCTTATTTTTAAAGTTTTGTGCCCATTATACACACTTTTTATATACATGTTAATTTTATAAATTATATCAACTATAGATCTATTTGGAAAGAACTGAGATCATAACAACAGTGAAGATGAACTTCTAGTCTATGAGCAAGGTATCTCTCTTAATATATTGAAGCCTTTTTTTTTAATGTATCTTCATGACATTTTGTAGTTTTCAGCACACATGTCTTGCCAATCTCTCATCAGGTTTATCACTGTTTACTATTTTCATGCTATTGTAAATGTTAGTGTTTTTAAGTTTAAATATTTCCAGTTGTTAATTGCTAGTATATAGAAATACAAATGATTTTTTTTAAATGTTGATTGTGGTAGGCAAAACATCTGAACAGACACCTCAACAAAGCTGTACAGATGATAATAAACATGAAGAAATGCTCAACATTATGTCATCAGGACATACAAATTAAAACAACACTGAGGTACCATTATCAGAATGGTACCTGTTAGAATGGCCAAAATCCAAAACATTGACAGGAGATGCTGGTGATTAGTGGATCAACAAGGACTTTCATTCCTTGCTGATAGAAATGCATAATCAAGCAGACGTTTGGAAGATGGCTTGAGGGTTTCTTACAAAATTAAACATATTCAACATATCATCCAGCAATCTTATTCCTTGTTATTTACCCAGATGAACTGAAAACATGTCCATACAAAGACCTGCACTTGGAGGTTTGTGACAGCTTTATTCATAATAGCCAAAACTTGGAAGCAGCCCATATATCCTTCAGTAGATGAATGGATAAATATACTGCAGTGCACCCAGACAATGGGATATTGTTTAGCACGGAAAAGAAATGAATTACCAAACCATCAAAAGACATGAAGCAACCTTAAGTGCATACTGCCAAGTGAAAGAAGCCAGTCTGAAAACACTACACACTCTGTGATTCTAATTATATGATGTTCTGGAAAAGGCAAGACTATAGTGACAGGAAAAGATCAGCGATTGCCGGGAGCTGGCAGTGGGGAAGGGATGAGTGATAATAAAACTATTCTGTAAGATACCATAATGTTGGATAGGTTGTTATACATTTGGTAAACACCATACATCTGTGCAATACAAAGAGTGAACCCTAATGTAAACTATGAACTTGATAACGTATCAATATCATTTTTTGTAAAAAATGCATTGCATCATTTAACACAAGATATTAATAGTCAGGAATATTGGGGGTCAGTAAATAAGGAGTATTATGGAAACTCTATACATTCCGTTCAGTTTTTCTGTAAACCTAAAACTGCAATAAGAGAAAATGCCTACTAATTAAAAAAAACTCATCAAACATTTATTAAATATTGATTACATATTATGAAGTCTTAACAAAGTAAGCTTTTTTAGTGAGGTAGTGTGTTTGTTTGTTTCTTGATATTCAAAAGGATTTTTGCATAAACTATAGTATAATATGTAAAAAAAACCCATAACTTTAATTTTTCCTCTTTAATCTGTATGCCTATTATTTATTTTTTCTTTCCTAATTGCACTAACTAGTGCTTCCAATAAAATGCTAAACAGACATGCCTAGGACAGATATCTTTGTCTTATTCTTGACCTCAGTGGAGACGACATTGTATATGTCACTTTTAAATAGTTTTTTTCATTGTTACTGTTCATCATGTTGAGGAAGTTCAATTCTAGTCATAGCTTGTTATGCTGTTTTGTCAGTAATGGATACTGAAATTCACCATATCCTTTCTGTGCCTATTCAAATGATCCTACATTTTTTATTCTTAAGTATTTTAATATCGTGAATTGTCTTGATTGATTTTTGAATGTTAAAGAATATCACAGTCTAGAGATAAATTCCACATGTTATGACTTTTCATACTTTGTATATATTGTTGAATTCTATTTGTTAGCATCTTAACCCTTTTCCCATTTGCCCCAACAATACTCGCTGGCAGTGCTTGCAGCTGCAGCATTTACCCCGAGATAACTTTGCCACAAAATAGCTCGCGTTTATTATCATTTTCACCTTGTTCTAGTACAGTGATTGGGAAACAAAAGACATCATTCTATTTATAGCATTCCGTTTTTAGTAGTAGTATTTCCATTTACAAAACATGGTAATTCTTGATCGCTCAAAATGTCAAATCCTAGAAAATGTAGCATTCCTACATATGATGTTAACATCATTCTCCAACAGTGGTTGGCTGAAGATTCATTTGATAAATCTGATTTTCTGAAATAGATGATTCTGATGTTAGTTCTGTTTAGAAATAACTCCAAGAACATTTTTTATTTTTTATTTTCAGATTGAAAATCTGTCAGATTTTCTTCAGCCTCAAAGAGCATGTTTATGTAAAATTAAAGGAGTGCTGGCAGCAAGCTGTGCTTTTTTTTTTCTAAATGGGAAAAGGGGCTTAATAAAATTCTTTGCATCTATTTCATGAGGGATATCAGATCTTCTAGTATATTTGTCTGGTAATTCATCTTCCATTTTAAGAAAATATTTGTATAGAATTGTTATAATTTCTTCACTAAATGGTAGAATTTACCAAAGAAATCATCTTAGTTTGGAATTTTCTCTATGAAAAAATGTAATTGAAATTAAATACATTTATTAGATGTAGGGCTATTCAGATTATCTATTTTTATCTTGATTTAGCTTTGATGGTTTCCATCTTTCAAGAAATTTGTTCATTTATTATACATTTTAAAGTTTATTAGTATAATGTTCATAATATTTTATAATTATCAGAGGTGTAGGATCTGTAGAGATGCTACCTCTTTCAGTTCTGATCTTGAGAATATATGACTTTTATTCTGATATGTTAGGCTAAAGTTTTGTGAATTTTATTATTGTCAAATAATGTAGTTTGTACGATCTGGATTATCTAAAATTTGTCGACATTCGCTTGTGGCTTTGGATATAGTCTATTCTGGCAAATGTTTCCTGCGCACTTGAAAAGAAAGTGCATCCTTCTGTCAATTTAAATATTGATTAGGATTATATTGGTTGGCATTGCTGTTCATGTTTTTAGTACAGCATGACTGCTTTTTTTGTCTAGTTGTAACTTCAATT
Source organism: Homo sapiens (assembly GCF_000001405.40). NCBI lineage: Eukaryota > Metazoa > Chordata > Mammalia > Primates > Hominidae > Homo > Homo sapiens. The sequence goes on from NC_000008.11 coordinate 137,711,364, forward strand.
ATTGAGAGGCATTAAAATAATCAGCTATTCTTATGCATTATTTTAGTTTACCTTGCAAGTCTATGACTTATTGCTTAACATATTTTAAATCTGTTTATTAGGTACATAAATCATTTATGATTTTTATGGTTCCTTCATTATTGTATGCCTCCCTTTATTACTGAATCTGAAACATACACTGCCTGTTATTCATATAGCTACTCCAAATTTCTTTTGTTTAATGTTAGCGTAGTATAGCTTTTTACATAATTTTCTTTAAATTTACATGTCTTCATATATTAAATGAGTTTGTTGTAGTATAATGAAAATATATACCGTATATAGTTGATTTCTCTTTTTTATACAGTGTGACAGTCTCCACTTTTTATTGTGGTTTTGGAACATTTGTAATTAATTTGATTTTGCACAGTTGATGTACTATTGTTATGTAACAAAATATCCCAAACTTACCAGCTTAAAACAACAAACTTTTATGAGCTCGCACTTTTTCTGAGGTTCAGAAACCTGGGAGGAGTATAGCTGGGCACTTCCTGCTCAGAGTCTCCATGATGTTTCATTTAAGCTGTCAGCTGGGGCTGCAGTCATAGCAGATTTGACCGAGGCTGCCCACATTACTTCCAAGATCACGCGTATGTCTTTTGAAAAGATGCTTAGTTCCTATGTAAATGAGTCTCTCCTTACTGTTGTTCATGAGCTGGCTTTATCCACAGTGAGTGATGAGCGAGAAAGAGAGAGGATGGAGAGGAGACGTCTTTTATAAGTCAGTGTCAGAGTTACACACTGTCTCTTCTTCCTTATTCTACCTGTTAGTAGTGAGTAAATAAGTCTTACCCACAATTAAGAGGAGAGAATTACAGAAGGATATGAATATCAGAAATACAGAGATTATTGAGGAATATCTTAGAGGCTGGCTACCACAGTGGTGTTTAAATCTACTACTTTGCTATTTATCCCATCTTTTTTCATTTCTTTGTGGGTGTGTTTTCCTGTCTTCTAGTAGGTCTCCAAATGCATTAATATTCATTTTTGCAATATCCATAATGTTTCATCTTCTGTTAATCCCATCCAGTGTATTTTTCAACTGAGAAATTATATTTTTTATCTCCAGTTGATCTGATTGATGTATTTAATGTATTTTTCATGTTTTCATTTCACATGCTCAGTCTTTTCTCTACCTTGTTGAACATGTCAGATCCATTTGTAATAACTCTTTCAGTGTCTTTGTCCACTAATTCTATCATTTGTGCCATTTCTGGAGTGATTTCAATTCACTGATATGTCTTTTCATTCTGCCTCATATTTTCTAGCTTCTTTTTATGAATAATAGTTTTTATTAAATATCAGGTATGAATTTTATCCTTTTGCAGGCTGGCTATTTTTGTATACCAATACATGTCCTTGAACTTTTTTCTAGATCTCAGCTAACTTACTTGTAATTACTTGTATCCTTTTGATTTTTTCAAGCTTTGTTATGTAAGACAAGAGCATTAGTGAGTCTAGGACTTGTATTCTGCCACAATGGAGGTAAAACTCTACTATGGAACGGAAGCCATCCCCAGGCCCATTTAAGCCTAAGAATTGTACCCTTAATTCTTTGGGTGTTTATTTCACTGCCCTCTGATATTTTACTTACATACATAGGTCTGTCAGTCCTCAGCTGAAGACTCAAAGAAGACTGTCTACAGGTATCTAGAATTCTCTCTCTCTCTCTCTGTTTTGCTGTCTCCTCTCATCTGTGATACTCTAGGCCATTCCTTCAAACCATGGACCATCAGGGTCCTTCTGGGTCCCCCTTACCTGTTCTGTGGTCTGGAAACACTTCACACAGTTAGCTGAGGCAACGATAGGGTTTGCCTCATTTGTTTCCCATCCTAAAGGGATTACTGTCCTTATTGACTGATGCCCAATATTTTTAAAGATGCAATTGTATGTATTTGTGCACTTTAAAGTTGTTTGTTTTTCTTTTGGATGGGAGGGTAAATCTGTTTCCTGTTATGCTATCTTGGATAGAAGACAAAATGCGAGGTTATTTCTTGAAAGAGATCTAAATGGCATTATTTCATGACAGATAGAATCAGCCATATAGGGATAGGATAAAATATTATGATTAATGTGTAACCTGGGCACTGAGAGAAGAGCATAATACATTCAAGATACAAGTTTCTGGCAGGAACAATAGCGAATGGTGGTCTCAGATTCTTTTGATCCCCTCTCTAACCACTAACAAGCAAACCTTAGTGCCTGTGATGGTTAATACTGGCTGTCAACTTGATTGGATTGAAGGATACAAAGTATTGACCCTGGGTGTGTCTGTGAGGGTGTTGCCAAAAGAGATTAACATTTGAGTCAGTGGGCTGAGAAAGGCAGACCCACCCTTCATCTGGTGGGCACAATCTAATCAGCTGCCAGCACAACTAGAATATAAGCAGGCAGGAAAATGTGAAAAGAGAGACTGACCTAGCCTCCCAGCCTACATCTTTCTCTTGTGCTGGATGCTTCCTGCCCTTGACCACTGGACTCCAGGTCTTCAGTTTTGGAACTCGGACTGGCTTTCCTTGCTCCTCAGCCTGCAGAGGGCCTATTGTGGGACCTTGTGATAGTGTGAGTTAATATTTAATAAACATTTAATAAAATCATATATATATATATATATTCCATTAGTTCTGTTCCACTAGAGAACCCTGACTAATACAGTACCTTTATTCAAAGTTGATTTTTTTAATTTTAGATATTAGTATGTATGTGTATATATATACACAAATGAAATATATATATATAAATGGAATATATGTATATATATTCCATTAGTTCTTTTTCTCTAGATAACCCTGACTAATAAAGTGCCTTTATTCAGAGTTGATGTTTTTTCAATTTTACATAAAAATTGAAAAAAATTATTACTGGAAAATTTAGGATTTTTTATCTACATCTAACTAGCAATATAAGTAGAGATACCATCTGCACTTAAGCACAGCTTCAGTACAAGTCTCCCTACACCCTTAACACAGACTTGGTCACTTACACAAAAGTGTTGCCTTTAACTCCACTCATAAGAAATCTTGAAGCTACTCTACTGTGCTGGTGTCTCTGAGCACGTCGGTATAGCATCAGGCTTCATCAATATTCACTCAGAGCTGGGGAGACTGAATCAGGCGAATAAATGAGGGGAGATGAATGGACTGGCAAGGGCAGCAACTAACACTGCAGAAAGATATATTCACCTTCTGCTTGATGCAAAAAGGAAAGCCTACGTGGTATATTATGAACTAAATAGAGTTGAACAATTTATCCTAAGATTTCAGAAGAAAGATCTTCAGCATTGAGAATGGAGAACCCAGAAAGATTATGCTAAATATGTGAGAAATGTTAGAAGACATGTTTTCTTTCCTGAATTTACATAAAAGAAAAGTAGATGTAGGTCATTCAACATCAAAATTTTCAGCCACTGCTGGAGAATGGACCCCAGTAACAATGACTGCACATCAATAAATGGACCTTTTATTTTTATTATCAAATTATGCGACCTAAATTATACATTCCTACTCAGCTAGCATTACACTTCAAAAGACAGATTTTTATAGCTGTTAAGAAAGCATACAAAAGAAGCCAAATGTGAAATAGTTTTGCTTGCCTTTACTTTTTAAGCAGGACAAAAGAAATAACAGATTCAGTAATTGATTGGAATAATGGATTCTGGTATTTATTTAACTATTAAGGAAGGAAAAATGCTTACATGTAAAATAAGAAATGTTAAACTTCTTGATTTTTAGTTGGAAAGATTAGAGAGTCATCAACTTGTTATGTGTTATTACTTTCTAATATTTTACATTTCCGAAAACTATGGAGCAATTTTGAGCTTATGTTTCCTCTAAATAACATGAGATGAGATAGGGTCAAAAAATAGAATATGTTTTAAATTTATATTCAATGCTGTCCAAAGATTAAATTGGCTATTAAAATTAGTAGTGAGGCCCTCATTCATGGATATGTAAAAGTAGAGTCTGTGTAAAAATTCTTCACTTAATGCGTTATTCAAGATTCCCCAGATAAACAGAAACAATAGGATATATATGTAAATATGTGTGTATACATATATGTATGTGTGTATATATGTATATGTGTATATATATGTATAGGTATGTGTATATATGTGTAGGTATGTGTATATATATTTATATATATCCTATTGTATATAAAATACATACACATATAAGAGGAAATTTATTATGGTAATGGTTCACACAATTATGGAGACTGAGAAGTCACATGATGTGCCACTTGCAAGCTGGAAATCCAGAAAATCCTCTGGTTTAATTCTGCTAGATCCTGAAGGCCCAATAACCAGAAGAGTCAGTCCAAAGCTAAAGGCTTAGAACTAAGGTGGAGAAGGGGAGGAATTTTTCCTTTTTCCACTTTTTTATTTAATTTGAGCCTTCTATTGATTGGATAATGCCCGTTCACAGTGGTGAGGAGAAATCTCTCTCTCTCTTTTTAAATTTAGCCTACTAATTCAAATACTAATCCCTTCTGAAAACACCCTCTCAGACACCCCTAGAAATAATGTCGAATTCACTATCTGGGCCTTCTGTAACCCAATTTGATGGGTAAAATAAACCATCACTTTTATGCTTACTATACTATTAGTGAGAGAGAAGGAGGAGAAAGAAAGAGGAAGGAAGGATAAAGAGTAATAAAGTGAAGGGGAGAAAAAGTGAAAGAAGGAGGTGAAGAACCAATTTAGGAAATGGCGCATTTGGGGAAGTGCAAAAGACAATATGCCCTTTCAATTATAAATGTGCTAAGCTGACAAAGCTGCAGACATTGACAATAAGGCTAAAACGTGGCACACTCAGGGAAAAAATAAAGCCTCTGTATTTTTTAAGAATTTTGTAGTATGTACTTTTGAAATTGAAAAGCCAAAAGCCATAAACACTATCTATGCATTTGAAAACCCACCTCATACACTTTGAAATGGATAATAGATTATAAATATCATGTCCAATAGAAATATTTTAATTTAAATTGTAATATTTTATGATCAGCTGTTAATTAAAAATTGTTTCAAAATCAATAGAGAATGAGGAGGAATTACTGAATGCAGGAGAGAGAATGAGGAAAGCCTGTAGATAAATATTGGATATGTAGGAGAAAAAATATCAATATAGTATCCTTTTCTGATTTTATCTCTCTCTGCTTATACCACTTACATATTCTATGTAAAGGCAAAATAGTCCATATAATCAAAGTATGCAATTGTAGTCAAGGAGTTACTGTCTTACATGCCTAAGAAAATCAACTGGTGTACACAGAGGTCATCACACTGGAAATTAAATTTAATCTTTTAAAATTAAATCTCTATTTTTAGTGGCGTTGCAATGTTTGTATCTCAGGAAGAAAACATCCCATCCAGTCCACAAATAGCTATCACATTGAAACAAGCCAAAGAGTCATCGTGATCATAGCTATCAAAAGAAGTATTAAAAGGATAGTATGGAATTCAACCCAGCATGACCACAGAAGTGGGACGCTCAGTCAGCCACGCCTGTATTGTGTTCAACCACGTGAGCTAAGAGCTCTAACTACTACGGCCATAGTTTCAAATCACCTGTCATGATGAGGTGCCAGATTTCTTTACTTTCTGGTTGATTCAGAGACAGAAAGTATTTTCATTAAAGATCTTGGATAAATATGTCAAATCACTAATAATATCAAACACTGAAGACTTCAATAAGTGAGCCAGTGTGTGCGTGCATGTGTGTGTGTGTGTGTGTGTGTGTGTAAGTAAAATATTTATTAGGGTGAAAAAGCAGCATTCACTGTTTGAATTCTTATTGTTAAGGATGTTTCTATCTTCACAAACATAGAAATGGACACAAGAAATGGCTCTTATTATTTGGGGGTGTCATAGAGGAATGTTGAATTTTATCAAAAGCTTTTTCCATGTCTATTGAGATAATCATACGTTTTTTGTTTTAAATTTTGTTTATGTGGCGAATCCCAATTATTGATTTGTGTATATTGAATCAACCTTGCATCCCAGGAATGGAGTCTACTTGATCATGGTGAATTAACTTTATGATGTGCTGTTAGATTCACTTTGCTAGTATTTTGTTGAAGATGTTCATATCTAAGTTCACTAGGGATATTGGCCTGTAGTTTTCTTCTTTTTTTTTTTTTTTTTTTTTTTTTTTTGGCATATCTTTGCCAGGGTTCAGGATCAGGGTAATGTTGTCCTTTTAGAATGAGTTAGGGAGGCATCTCTCCTCCTCGATATTTTGGAATAGTTTCACTAGAATTGGTACCATGTTTTCTTTGTACATCTGGAAGAATTCAGCTATGAATCTATCTGGTCTAGAGTTTTTTTTTTTTTTTTTTTTTTTATTACAGATTCAAATTTGGAACTCAATATTAGTCTGTTCAGGGTTTCAATTTTTCCTTGTTGTTTTTGATTTGCTTATTTGGATCATCTCCTTTCCTCTGTTAATCTAGTTAGAAGTCAATTGATTTTGTTTATCCTTTCAAAAAACCAAGTTTTAGTTTATTTGTTTCTCTGTATTGATTTGGATGTCTCAAATTCATTCATTCTCCTCTAATTTTAGTTATTTATTTTCTTTTACTAGTTTTGGAGTTAGTTTGTTCTTGTTTTTCTAGTTATTTTAGGTTTGCTGAATACCTAGGAAATATCATTCTCAACATTAACCTGGGGTAAGAATTTATAACTAAATCCTCAAAAGCAACTGCAAAAAAAGTTAAAATTGACAAGTGGAGCCTAATTAAATTAAAGAGTTTTTGCACAGCAAAACAAACAAATGAAAGAAAACAAAACAAAAAAACATATTAATGGAGTAAACAAATAACCTATAGAATGGGAGAAAATATTTGCAAAGTATACATTTGACAAAGGTCTCATATCCACAACCCATAAAGAACATTAACAACTCAACAAGCAAAAAACAACCCCATTAACACGTGGGCAAAAGACATGAACAGACACTTCTCCAAAAAAGACATAAAAGTAGCCAACAAACATAGGAAAAAATGCTCAACATCACTAATCATCAAAGAAATGCAAATTGAAACTAAAATGAGTGACCATCTCACGCCAGTCAACGTGGCTATTACTAAAAAGTCAAAAAATAACAGATGCTAGTTAGGTTGTGGAGAAAATGTAATTAATATTTTTGGTGGGAATGTAAAATTAGTTCAGCCACTGTGGAAAGCAGTTTGGAGATTTCTCAAAGAACTTAAAACAGAACCACCACCCAACTCAGCAATCCCATTACTGAGTGTTGTGTACATACCTAAAGAAGAATAAATCCTTCTACATAAAAAACACGTAAACTTGTAGGTTCATCACAGCACTATTCACAATAGTAAAGACATGGAATCAACCTAGATGCCCATCAGTGGTAAATGGGATAAAGAAAATGTGATACATATGCACCATGGAATACTACATAGCCATAAAAAATAATAAAATTATGTCCTTTGCAGCAACATGGATGGAGCAGAAGGTCATTATCCTAAGCAAATTAATACTGGAATAGAAAATCAAAATATCACATGCTCTTACTTATCAGCAGGAGCTAGGCACTGGATACACATGGACATAGTTAGAAACAACATACAAAGGGATCTATGAGACTGAGGAGAGTAGGAAGAGGATAAAGTCTGAAAAACTACCTATTGGGTACTCTGCTCACTACTTAGGAGATGGTATCATTTGTACCCCCAACATCAGTGTCACACAATATACCCATATAAAAAACCTGCACATCAACCCCCTGAATCTAAAATAAAAATTGAAAAATAATTAAAAAGAAACAGCAACAACAGAGTGATTTTAAACACAATAAGACCCTGATCTTAAGATTTCACCTTGAACGCAAACATCCATTTGATCATGTTTCCTTTGAAATACTATGAGATTGGCATAAGTGGTAAAAGGGTGTGTTTTCGTGCATGTATGTGTGTGTGTGTATGTGAGTGTGTGTGTGTGTTGCTTGATTTGAATTCTGGGTCCCTGGCCGTTAAGGAGAATCAAAATTCCAGTCATACATTCATTTATGAATTTGTCCATTATTCCCCAAATATATTTTCACTGGCCATTCTATGGTCCACATTGAACTAGAATTGAAGATAAAATGGTAAATAAGAGAGAAATTCTACCGACAATGAAAAAAAAAATCATAATGTGGAAGGTTCTATGGGTGTAGTCAAAGAGAGGTACACCTAGTAAAGGCAATCATCCACACTCAGTCTTGGTTTAGGAGCGTGACTGAGTTAGATGAAGGGGCGTGAGCAGCACAGGAGGGGAGCATTGCGGAAAGAGTTTGCAACCTGGCCTAACACCTAACTGCAGAAGTGAGAGAGTGGCCATCCAGTTTACATATGCTGAAGCATTAAGTGTATGTGTGTGTGTCTTTTATTAGTTGGTGGCTGTGATAAGGGATGAGGTGGTGAAACTCATGTTGAACTTTTTCTCTGTGCTTCATGTTATGATATATACCCAAAACAAATGAAAAACAGTCTGACAGGAGACTGTGACAAAAAAATGATGTGTATCTAGGACAAGCCAGAAACATTTCTAGGCACATTCCCTAACATTGTTGTCCATGCTTAACACGTCTAGAACTTTATGCAATTTGCTTTATTTAAACTTTCTAGAGAAATAGATCAATAGCCAATCATATTTTACAGATAAAGGGAAAAAAGCTTCTAAAAATTTAAGTTAAGAAAAGCTTACAGTGTTACAAAGTAGAAGAAGATTCAAAATCAGATATGGGACAGATTGAAGCTGTATTTACAAGGCAATTGCAAATGTGATCACTCTGTTTAGATGCCTAATCTCCTACAATCTATTCTCAATACAATAGATATATGTAGTTTTTTAAAATGAGAATCACATTAGACATGTACACACACACACACACACACACACACCCCTATGGAAATACAACCCCTCCCCACTCCTTAAAGCATGCTACTGACTTTCCATGGCATGTGGAGCATACTCTCACTCCTAACATCAGCATTTTACCTTATCTGGCCTATTTCTTGAAGCTCTGAGTTCTTTATTCCATTACTTAATATATTCCAACTGCCTATTCTCTGTGGTTTAGCCTCCCAGGCATTATGTTTGTTCTAATCTTTGCACTCATATTCCCTCTGCCAAGAAAGCTCTTTGGTTCCATAGATGGCTTTATCCAACGTTCAAGTATTGCCTCAAGTATTACCTCCTAGAGTCAATTTCCCACAGTCTAATAAAAAACGAGCACACTCATCTCTTGGTATAAGCACCAGTATGCCATCACGATCTCTTACATTTTTCAGTTTATTTAGTGCGTAATAATACACAACACTATATGATGCTTTTCCTTGCTTATTTGTACTAGTTCTTTCATTATTATCTATAATCTCCTGGACAGTGTGGTACATTTAATTGTAATTCATTGCAATGAAAATTTTCGTGTTCTACTATATAGTGAATTTTATGTTTCATATATGCTAAAATCAATCTAGATTTCTTTTCATGAATGCATGTTTCCGTATTTCTATCACTCTATAGCTTTTTATGCAATTAAATCTTTCACATCCTTGGTTAATGTTCTGGTTTTCTTACTCTACCTGTCAAATATTTGATGATTTTCAATATAATTGTGAATTTTTATGTTTTTCCTTTGACTCTACCATTTTTTTTCTTATATTCTTTAGACCAAATCATCAGGTCAAAAAGTTTCAAATATTTCACGTCTGCTTAGTGGAAACTTCTAATCAGCATTGAAATTTTACTTCCTTTTTGTTGTTTTACATGTTGTTTTCTTTTAATTATATAAGCATTTTTATATCACCTTTCGTCTGTTATATTTTCTTGGTTTATCTTTTTTTTACTCTTTATTTCTTACCTTCTTTTGGTTATATTCATGATCTATTTATTTCTTCATTGGAAAGATTAATTTTCCACTTCAAAAAATTTATTTAGCCTAACAATTCATTATTTTTAGATAGTGAAATGATCACACCCTTACAGAAAAGTTGATGATATAGTACAAGATACGTATTTTTCTGACCCAGTTTTGAATAAGAAAGCAACCATATCTCCATTGCCCTGGCATACATTAGTGTATATTTAATATAAGCAATGACATTATTTTACATTGCCAAATATAACCTTAAAAATCAGGATACTGACATTTGCATATTGCTAAAAGAAGTTAAATGTTTGGATATTCTCCTTTAAGCCAAGTATCTAGTCCTTAAAATATATGCCCCACATTCCGTAATCATTTCTGATAATCTTTTCATTCATGGCCATGTTTCTGTCGGCATTACATATTTAGATGTCTCTTTACACACTACAGATGTAAAGGAAAAAAAAGTAAGGCTCGTTCATAGGGGAAAAAACAATTGACACCAACTGGCCCTAAGGAAGCCGAGAAATTGGACTTCCTAGACAAAGATCTAAAATCATTTATTTTACATGTATTTAAGGATCTAAAGAAAACCACATTTAAAGAAAAAAATAACATATGAGAATGTCTCACAAAATATATATCAATTAAGATATATAAATTATACAAAGGAAACAGAAATTCTAGTTTTGAAAAGTACAATAACTAAGACAAAAATTCATTAAAGGAGCTCAGAAGCAGGTTTGAACAGGCGGAAAGAAGACCAGCAATTTCCTAGGGGTATGGAAGAAGGAAGGAAGAGAAGGTGGAGCAAAGAGGGTTTTTAGGGCAGTGAAACTATTCAGTGTAATACTATAATGGTGGATACATATTATTAGACATTCATTCAAAGCCATAGAATGCACAACAACAGGAGCAAACTCTGATATAAACTATGGACTTTGGATAATAATGATGTGTCTGTGTAAGTTCACTCATCATAATGAATGTACCAGTCTGGTAAGGGATGTTCATAATGGGGTATTCTGTGCATGTGTGTGGGCAGAGGGCATATGGCAAATATTTGTGCCTTCCTCTCAGTTTTGCTGTGAACCTAAAACTGCTTTAAATAAGACATTCATATAGTCATACAAATACATGTATTTGTGTATATGTGTATACATACATATATTTTCATATATTTTATAATTCCCTGATATATGTGTGTGTGCATGTGTATGTATGTGAGTGTGTGTGTGTGTGTGTGTGTGTGTGTATATATATATATATATGGGAGTATGTGATATATGTGTATATATATATATCAGGGAATTATATGAAAATGATTAAAATAGCGTAATAGAAAATATTTATTTAAAACAAAATAAGGAAATAATGGATATCTCAGGGAAAAAAGATGTAAGACATGTGGAAAATAAATAGCAAAATGACACATATCAATTATACCTTATCAGTAATGAAATTAAGTGTAAATAATATTTAACTCTCCAAATAAAAGTCAGATAGCTTCAGAATCAGCTTTATAAAGTGATTCAACTATATATTGTGTACAAGAGACTGACTTGAGATTCAAAGACACAAATAGCTTGAAAGTAATACAATGAAAAAATATGTGCCATACAGGAGAGCTGAAGTAACTATACTAATACCATATAAATAAAACTGTAAGGTAAAAAATATTCCTAGAGTGAGAGGAAAACATTCCATAATGATAAAAAGCTTAATCTATCATACAGATAAAATATCAAATGTATATACACCTAACCACAGCCTCAAAATACTTTGTGCGAAAACAGAGACTTGGATAGATAATCTGTCTAGATTTGCAGACTTCAATATGCCACTTCCACTAATGACTATACCAACTAGATTAAAAAATAGCAACAAAAAGAAAGAATCTACTAACCAACTAGACCTAAAATATAGAACTCACCACACAACAAGAGCAAAATATACATTATTTTCAACGTACATAAAATATACTTCAGAAAAGAACAAATATTAGGCCATTAAACAAGTTTAAATAATTTTTTTAAAACTTTTATTTTAAGTTCAGAGGTACATATGCAGATTAGTTATATAGGTAAACTCATATCATGGGGGCCTGTTGTGCAGATTATTTCTAAGCCTAGTACCCAATAGTTGTTATTTCTGCTCCTCTTTCTCCTCCCACCCTCTGTCCTCAAGTAAGCCCCAGTCTGTTGTTCCCCTTTTTGTGTCCATGAGTTCTCATCATTCAGCTCCTACTTGTAAATGAGAACATGTGGTATTTGGTTTTCTGTTCCTCTTTTAGTTTGCTAAGAACAATGGCCTCCAGCTCCATCCATGTTCCTGTAAAAAACATGATCTTGTTCTTTTTTATGGCTGCATAGTATTCTATGGTGTAACTATATTTAGATGCATTGAAATAATACAAAGTATATTATCCAACCACAAAGGATTGAGATTAGAAATAAACGAATGAAAAAAGTCACAGATACACAGACACTAAATTTCATGTTCCTAAACAGCCAATAGATCAAAGAAGAAATGACGAACGAATTTAGAAAATAATTTGAGATGAGTAAAATGAAAACACAAATTGATAAAACTTATAGAATTCAGAGAAAACAAGACTCAGAGGAAAATTATTAACTATAAATTCTTATGGTAAAAAATAAGAAAGCTGTCGTATCAGTGAGCCAACACTCCATTTTAAGAAACTACAAAAACGAAAGCAGTTAAACTCAATGCAAGTAGAAAAAAAATAAATATTTGTGTGATTTTAGATAAAACAAAATATAAAATACAAAATAACAGTAGAAAAAATCAACAAAACCAAAATTGGTTCTTTGAGATCAACAAAATTGGCAAGCTTTAAGTTGAGCAATTAAAAAAAATGAAAAAAACACTTCACTTACTATAATCTGGAATAAAAGAGGAGACACTACTACCCAACTTACATAAATACAAAATATTATAAAGAAGAAATGTGAAGAATGTTATGTTAAAAAACTCAATAGCTCAGATATAATTGAAAAACTCAAGAAAAAAATCATATCATGAATCTAGGTAGAATTATAACAAACTTCCAATAAATGAAAGCTCAAGCATGGATGCTTTCAGTAAAGTAGTGAATTCCACCAAATGTTTAAAGAATCACCTTAACATAGAGCTAACTTCAAAATTCTTCTCAAAACAGAAAATAAAGAACACATCTTAATTCATTATATCAGGCCAGTATCACATTAAACCCAAAAGCAGACAAGACTTCACAAAAAAGTATAGACCAATATTCATTATGATATGTACACAAAAAATCCTCAACAAAATTCTAGCAAACTAAATATAGAAAAAAGGATCATATACCATGACCAAGTGAGATTTACTCCAGAAATGCAGAAATGCAAAAATGGTTCAATATGTCAAAATCAACCAATGTAATACACCATATAAATAGACTAAGAAAGCAAAACAAGACAAGAACATGTTCATCTCAATAAATATAGTAAATCCACTTTCCAAAGTCCAGCACCCTTTTAGTAAAAACATTCAGCAAACTAGGAATAGCATAAAAATATTCTCATGCTAATAAAAGCATCTATGAAAAGTCCACAGCTAACACCATACTTAGTGTCAAAAGAAGCAAAACTTTCGCTCTAAGATCAGGAACAAGACAAAGATGTAAGCGTAAAATAGTGCATCCACTTTGGAAAACAATTTGGTTGCTGAGTAAGTTAAACACAAGTTGCCATATGATCCAGCAATGCCACTCCTCGGTATACACCCAAGAGAACTGTAAGCGTTATGTTCACACAAACACTTATACTTGAATATTCACAGCGTTGTTATTTCTAATAGTCCCAAAATGGACACAAACCTAATATCTATCAACAGATAAATAGGTAAAAAAAAGGTGACATAAAATACAATGAAATATTATTCAACCATAAAAAGGAATGCAGTGGTGACGCATGCTACAACATGGATGAGCCTTCAAAACATTCTGGTAGATGAAGGAAGCCAGGCATAAAGACCATATATTATATGATTCAATTTATATGAAACACCCAGAATAAACAAGTCCATAGAGGAACACAGATCACATGTCAGGGTTTGTGGGCAGAAAGGGAATAGAGCCTCAAACCTGTATTTTTGGTGTATGGTGATGAAAATATTCTGGAATTAATGGTGATGATTATACCTATAAATATACCAAAAACTGCTAAATCATAAACTTCAGATTGGTTAACTTTATATTATGTGAATTATATCTCAATTTAAAAAACAAAAAATAAAATAAACACATAGTAGATGCTCAATATATTAAGCACTTTATGGAAAAGAGTATCTAGGATGAATATTCATCCAGTATCAGTATCACCGTATACATAATGTGTAGAGAAACAAAATATCAAAAAAAGAGAGAAAATGCATATGTGAAATAATGTGAAAATAACTAAATGTATAATAAGGAATAAATTAAATAAGATGTTATTAAATGTTGGCAAACATCTACAGTGGCCAACTAATATAATTACTGTTTAAAACTAACAATGGTTGTTAGGACTATTTCTGGTCCTCATCTCAGCCCTATCAGTACATCTCACTAAAGTATTCGAATCTGTCTGAGAAAACGTCCTCATAATCCCAAAGCAGGAAGTTCAGGTGGCATGAATTCAAATAATCTTGAAAACATTTAGTTCAGTTTATATGCTTTTGGGAAAAACAAAACAAAACAAAACACGCACATTGGAAGAACATTCTCATAGCAGTATTTCCCCCATTACACACCATGAATTATTTATGAACTGAGTACTTTACCATGAATGTAGATGTTTGTCAGGATTAAAAATAGCAGCTCTGTCAAAAGTTACTCCCTGCTGCCACCTAGCTTCAACCCCTGCAAATACTGATTGCTTTAGAACAAACACAGAAGAATCAGTAATTCACATAAGCAGGTAAGACTTGGGATTTTTTGAAGCACCATATTTTATTCTTGATTTTTTATGTCAGTGACCCCTTTTTGCTATGCCTTGAAAATTTCCATTTTAGGAGACATTCAAAACAGCAACTCAGCTGGTGCTCTAAAAATGGGATTTGACTCATCTGATATAAAATTCAGTTCATACAGATGCAGTTTCAGAAGTGGCCATAAAATCAGGTTTTCTTTGTCTCTCATTGGCTCCTTCCCACTCTGTCTTTGATATCAAGGAAGTCATTCTATTATATTTTATTATTCCAATTTTTTCAGCCTGCCACATTTTATAGTAATAATTATAATTCAACTAGAGATTTATATACTACACATCTCTCTCTCTGCAAGACATTTTCTATCCTCATTCGAATATGCATGTTGATAAAATTAACATGATTACCAGCAAATTAATTCTTCCGTCTGTCATGGTTCAGTTTACCCTTCACGGGTTATTAAAATAGTTTCCAACTTTATAAAAAGAATGCAAATAGTTTGATTTAAATATATCAGTGCCTATTGTTTTAAATCATTTTGATGAAATGAAAGGAAAAGATCTTGCTTCAATTTGAATCTGGTAAGTTTTATATATGTTAGCAGTTTCAACAAAGGGAAATAAAACAATTTTCCAGAATTTGATCTAAAATTTTCACCATGTCATCTAAATTATAGAGTAAGCACTGTATTGACACTGGTGACATGGGGCAAGTGCATTTCTCCTGTTCCTATGTTGTCCTGGAATTGTCAAGGAGCTGGCTTAGGTTAGCATAAAAGACACTGAACCTGGAATAGAAAATCCCAGTTACTGATTTCGAATGAGGCATTTGCTGTCTGCATCACTTAGAGAATTACAGCTAAGTATCCCGAATCTCAGGTCCAATGAAAGGAATGAAGATATGTTTCTGTTTGATATCACATGAAAGGAAAGGAAAGGAGAGGAGAGGAGAGGAGGGGAGGGGAGGGGAGGGAAGGAGAGGGGAGGGGAGAGGAGAGGAGAAGGGGAAGGGGAACCGGAAGGGGAAGAGGGCAAAGAGGGAGGGAAGGAAGGAGAGGGAAGGAAGGAAGGAAGGAAGGAAGGAAGGAAGGAAGGAAGGAAGGAAGGAAGGAAGGGCAAAGGAAAAAGAAACCATTGCAAACTCGGAGGCTCCTTTGCTGGCATGGCTCTCTTTGTGGACCACTGTGATAGATAAAACATTTAGGGCAGCAGCTGCAGTTGAGGTCTTTCTTCAAAGAAAGGCAAAGCTCTAAGGAGAAATTCATGGGGAGGAAATGGGCACTGCTGGATCCAACAGTCTAGCTATTAGACTATGAGCTATTCTGGAGCAGTCCAGGGCAAGATACTCCAAGAAGCAGCTCTGCAGGGGAACGGTTTGATACAAAAGCCTAATGGGGTCACTGGCAGAGCACTGTAAGTCAGCATGTGACCACATCATAAAGGGTGTCTGTCATATTAGGGGACCCATCCTCCCTTCCTCAGTGTTGGTGTCTGCCCTTTCCGCCCACAGGCCTAAGAGACAGTTTAGCACAGCAGTTAGTAGCTTGGTTTCTGGAGTTAGATGGCTTGGATTCAAACTCAAGCTCTGCCATTTACTAATGCTGGAATCTTGTGAGTCTTAACCTCTCTGTGTCTTCAGGTTTCTTATGTGTAAAATGGAGTTTTTATGAGTGTTAAAAGGAACACCTCATATAAAGTGAGTATTGGAGTAGATGGTCTTCATATGTTGACATATCAGTGTTATTGGTTTTGATTAGGAAAGTGCATAGAAGAAAGTCTTTTTTTTTTTTTTTTTTTTTGAAAAGGAGTCTTGCTCTGTCGCCAGGCCGGAGTGCAGTGGCACAGTCTCCTCAGTGCAACCTCCACCTCCCAGGTTCAAGCAATGCCCCTGCCTCAGCCTCCCGAGTAGCTGGGAGTACAGGTGCTGCCACCACGCCAGACTAATTTTTTTTGGCTGTTTTTTGTATTTTAGTAGAGATGGGGTTTCACCATGTTGTCCAGGATGGTCTCGATCTCCTGACCTTGTGATCCACCTGCCTCGGCCTCCCAAAGTACTAGGATTATAGGTGTGAGCCAGCGCGCTCAGCCAGAAGAAAGTCTAAGAGACCCCGTGTCCAAAGTTGTCAGCCCTCTGAATCCACTGAGCCGCTGTGTGACTGTGGGATCCTGGTTCACCCTCCTTTCATGTTTCTCTGTTTACTCATCTGTAAATGGTAATAAAATACCTTCCTCACAAGTTTCTCACTAGCATTAAATGAGATAACAGAGTAGGGACAGGCATGCAGTGAATATCCACTAAATATCAGATGCCGCTCCAGCGATTCCAGAGCAGCAAGGCAGGCCACTTTGAGGTCTGGTTGCAGACATTCTCAGTCTAGGTCTTCTCTTTCTAGTTGTGTCACTGCCAGTGAATTAGTCTCCTTGTTAGTACCCCAGGTTTTTCATCTGGGAGATGATAGAAACTACCTCACAGGGCTGTGTGGAATTAAATGAGTTAAACGTGAAGCTTTTGGATTATTGCCTGACGCAAAAATTTGAAAAGAATGGTAGCCCTTATTATCAGTGCTCTTATAATGATGAGGATGGTGAGGAGGAGGAGCATTTGAGTGAAAGCAACAACATAGAGGTGCTTCTGGTTCTTACATGGCAAGTGGTTTGGACACCCCACAGGGAAAGCTCCCCTACATCATCCCAGGACATCTATAAGCCCACAGCCATTCATGGAGGAGAGCGGGAGGGGAAGCTCTCACGCTTGTATTGTGAAGCCCACATGGGACAGAGACAAGAGACTCTTTTCACATTAGTAAAATCAATTACAACAAATTATGATTAAAACCTCTATCTAATCTCCCTAGTAGATTTTTGTGTACATTGAAATTAAAGGCATCACATCTTTCTTTTCTCCCCTCAGTGGGGAGCTATATAGAAAATGCCTAGAATATGGTAATAAAATATTTGACTCTGGGAAGGCATCATATTTACATCTCAACAACTACAGAGCAGCAGCTTTAGACATTCTCTCTTCTAATATTTACCTGTTGAGCATCTGGTATGTGCCTGGATCGGCTAGGCTCTGAAGAAACAATTGTGAGCAAGTTAGATACAGTCTCTTTCAGGAAGTTTAAAATTTGGTGGAAGTTATAAGAAAAAGAAAACATTAAAACCTCTACTTCTCTTAATTATTTTACAAGTGTTTTTTATTCTTTGAGGACACATATGCCCTAAGTACAGTCAGGACACCTGTAAATAAGAAGATGGGGCCACTTTCCCCAGAGCAGGTCTCAGAATCTATAATACTATTAAGAACTCTTCCTAAGCAAAAAGAATCCTATAAAAGCATAGAAATAGAATATACCCAACTAGTTTATATTTTTGATAGTCATTTATAGTAGAAATGCAAAATATCTGGTAGTCCACAGTTTGTCTGTGAATTCTGAATTCTATGAAAATAACGAACAACAGGAAGTTACCAGGAAATTGAACATTTTAAAGGTCATTCTAAGAGATGATAGCACAAAGAGAGCAAAATAAGCAAGACTATAAATGCTAAATTAATAAAGTCTGAAGAGGAACCATGTGAATTTATCCTTTACATTATCCAGGAGATAAGAGAAAATAGAAAGCCTTTCCCAGGAAATAATACTAATTGATGATAGCTTGAAAGTAGCTAATTTATTGAACTCATATTTTTAACTCATTTTTAAAGAGTAAATATTCTTAAAATACAAAACATATTTTTCTTAAAAAAATAGGCATTTAAATTAGAAAAAGGGTAATGTCAGGAAAAACTCATGTTAATGAAAAGCTCTAGTAAATATCTTTGAAACAGAGAACAAGCATGTAGGTAAAGTTTAGAAAAAATAGAGTTGGAGAGACCCTGTATTGGAGACTTCTTATTCTATGCATGTGGAAATCGAGAGTCAGAATGATGACTTAGTGACTCCAAGGTCCTATGGCAAGAGAGGTGCAAACCTGAGGTAGAGGCCAGACTGCTATGTTCCCCAACAGAATCCTTAGCTTTTGTGCTGGACCCGTAGGTGCCAATCTTCAGTCCTAAAGGAAACACCATTCTAGTTTTGCTGAAAATGAGACACAGTGGTCCTTAGGTATGGGGATGATGCAGCACGGAACACCAGTGAAAACTGGGTTTGGAACTGTCTAGATATCAGCTGCTTACTGTTGAACAGACTTACTGAACAGCCCAGTAGTATTGTTGG
Source organism: Homo sapiens (assembly GCF_000001405.40). Lineage (NCBI taxonomy): Eukaryota > Metazoa > Chordata > Mammalia > Primates > Hominidae > Homo > Homo sapiens. Next base: position 137,730,441 of record NC_000008.11, read on the forward strand.
GCTTATCAACATATACCCAATGGCCTCATCTATGCAACAACCCAGCCTCTTCAATTCTTGTGACATGAGGTGTTCCCTGCTCCCTTGGCTATTGTAGTAGCTTGAGAAATGGGCGTTGGGCTTCAGCTGGATTAATCAGTGCTTCCACTTCTTAGTCACGGTGATTGTCTTGAGGGATAGACATGCAACCAAGCTTGGTTACTCTCAGTTATTCTCCAGAATCATAATAATTATACCTAGGTTATATGGTTTGGATGCTTGTCCCCCTCAAATGTTGTGTTGAAACATGATTCCCAGTGTTGGAGGTGGGGCCTGGTGGGTGGTGATTAGACCATGTGGACAAATTCTTCATGAATGATTTAGCACCCTTGGTGTTAAGGGCATTCTCACTGGCTTAGTTCCCATGAGCTCTGGTTGTTGAAAGAGTCTGGGACCTCCTCCTTCTCCCTCTCTTGTTCCTGCTCTAGCCATTTGGTGCTCCTGCTCCCCCTTCACCTTCTGCCATGAGTGAAAGCTTCCTGAGGCTTCACCAGAAGCAGACATGGGTACCAAGCTTCCTATACAACCTGCAGAACTGTGAGCTGAAAAACCTCTTTTTAAAGTAAACTACCCGGCCTCAGGTATTTCTTTATATAAATGCAAGAACAGACTAATACTCTAGGTATAAGAAGATTTATTTCTTTCTAGCTGTGAAATTTAAATGCTAGGAGTTGGAGGTGGCCAAATCCCCACCAAGTGAAGGAAACAGAAGTTAAAGCCAGTGAATGGTATGATGCAAAGATGAAAGATGGCGAAATTATTACGGTAATAGGGAGTCACTTAATAAAATTGTTTGTATCTATATTATTTCCCCTTCACATTTCCATGAGCTAATACATTTTTATTGTACCTAAGAAATTTTGAGATGTGTTTTTTAATCAACCTTAGACAATGTGTCCTGTTAAATATTTTTGCTAAACAAATAACTTCCATGGCTACAACATTAAGAATACATGGATAGTGCTAAAATTTTCTATACTATTTACCTAATAATTATACCATAATCAGTTGCTATTCATTCAGCGCCTCTATCATTCAAGTTATTTTCTGTTATCCACTTTATTTCTCACAAAAACATCTTCAAATGGGGCATAATTTTCTTTAGTATTTAGATTATGGAACTAAAGATTACAGAAAACAAGGGACCTGTTTATTGCACTCATGGCTCTTGAAAAGATCTGTACACAGAGTGGCCCCCTAATTTTCCACACTGTATGTACATGCAATAGTAATGTCTGTGCTGCCCCCTCCGAAATTCACGTTGAAATTTAGTCCCCAGCACAGCAGCAAAACCTTTAGGAGGTCATTAGAGTGCTCATGGATGGGATTAATGCCTTAAAGGGCTGATGGGAAGTAGTCAGCTAGGCTCCTGCTTTTCCCCTTCTGCCCTTTTGCTGAGTGAGAACATCGAGGCACTTGCCTCTGGAGGATGTAGCAACAAGGCACCATTTTCAACGTAGAGACTCAGCCCTCACCAGACACTGAACCTGCCTGCACCTTGATTATGAACTTCCCAGCCTCCGGATCAGTGAGAAATACATTTCTATTATTTATAAATTATCTAGTCCCAGATGTTTTATGATAGCAGCACAAACAAACTAAGACAGTAACTGGGACTGAGAAGTAGGGTGTTACTATAACAAATACCTGAAAATGCAGAATTGGCTTTGAAACTGGGTAATGAGTCAAGGGTGAATGAGTTTTGAGATACCTGCTAGAAAAGGATTGAAAAAGTACTCATTGGATAGGACACTATGCTTATTTCCTGGGTGATGATATAGCATATACACCAAACCCCTGTGACATTCAATTTATCTGTAGAACCAACCTGCACATGTAACCCTGAAACTAAAATAAGAGTTAAAAAAAAAAGAAAAAAAGAAAAAGCTTATATTGCCATGAATGGAGCATTAAAGGCAATTCTGGTGAAGGTTCAAAAGAAGAGAGCTGTAGAGAAGACTAAATCTTCTTAGAGATTATCTAAGTGTTTGTGATGAGAATGTTGGTAGAAGTATAGGCAGCAATGGCCATTCTGATGACATCTTAGACAGAAATAAAGAATGTCTTACTGGGAACTGGAGAAAAGGCCATCCTTGTTACAAAGTGGCAACAAACTTGGCTGAATTGTATCCATTCCCTGGGGCTTTGTGGAAGGCAGAATTTAACAGCAATAAACTAGGATATTTGGGAGAAGAAATATATAAGCAAAGGGTTGAGGGTGTGGCATGAGGTGGTTTAACTGGTTGTAGTAAAATGTGGGAAGAGAGAAGCTAAGTAAAGGGAACATTTATAATCAAAAGGGAAGCAGAACCTAAGGAGCTGGAAAGTTCTCAGCTTGCAAAAAATGAGAAATTATATTCAGGTGAAAACACCAATGAATGGGAATAAACCAAGTGCTGTTCATCAGGTCAATGGGAAAATGACCCTGATGGCTCTTCAGAGATGATCAGCATTGCCCCTCCCATTACAAGCCCAGAGTGCTAAGGCCTGGACAACAGAACGATGTCATAAAAGGGGCTTCAGGTGCCCTTGGAACCTGAGCACTCACTGCCGTCTCCTGCTTCAAGACTGCTCCCAGCATTAAGGTGCAGTGCTCATTTTTTTCCCTCTGTGTGGCTTGAGTGGTCCCTGGTGCAGCTTGGGACACACCTCCAAAAGAAACAAGCCATAAACCTTTGTGGTGTCTCTGCCTGGCCAACTCTCGGTATACAGAGTGAATTACCTATGGAGACATGCTTACCTCCAAGTAGATGTCAAAGGATGTCTCAGAGAGCCTCAGGGCCCAGGCAGAGGACTGGGGGAGGGGCATGGCCCACATAGAGCATCCTCACGAGGGCTCTGAGGGGATCATGGGGCTCTAGTGGGATCCTGGGGCAGGGCTACTCTCAAGATGCCAGAGCTATAGAGCTGCCAGTGTGCAACTACAGCCTGGGAAAGCCACAGGCATGTGACTCCAACCCTGGAGAGCTGTCATGTGAACTGCACCCAGCAAAGGGGTGGGAGTGGGGCTGCCAGGAGCTTTGAGAGCCAATCCCTACCCCAGTGTGTTCAGAAGGTGGTTCATGGAGGGAAAGAATATTTTTCTGAAGAGTTAAGATTTAGTGCTTGCCTTGCTAGGTTCTGGATTTGGATGGAACCTATTACCCCTTTCTTCCTTTCTGTTTCTCCCTTTTGGAATGGGAATGTCTATCCTATGCCTGACTCACTATTGTATTTTAGAAGAATATAACTTGTTTGATTTCTCAGGCTTACAGCTGAGATAAATTTGCCTCAGGATGAATCACACTTTAAGTCTCACCCATATCAGAATTAGATAATATTTAAATGAAAATTTGGACTTAGACTTTAAAGTTGATGCTAGAGGGAATTAAAACTTTGGAGGTTATGGAATGGATTGAGTGAGTTTTGTTTATGAGAAGGACATACATTTTGGGAGATTTGGGGCAGGATGCTATGGTTTGAAGATTTGCGTCCCTCCCTAAATTTATGTTGCAGCTTTATCCGCAATGCAACAGTACTAAGGGGCAGAGCCTTTAGTAGTAGGTGATAAGGCCATGAGAGCTCTGATGCTAGGGGATGGGATTAGAGCGCTTATAAAATGTTTGAAGGGGTGAGGTCATCCTTTTTAACCTCCATCTGTTTTGGCCGTGGGAGGATTATAGTAAAAAGTCACCAACTTCAAAAAAGAGCAGGCATCACTAGACACCAAACCTCCCTGCATCTTGATCTTGGACCTTCTATCCCCAGCACTGTGAGAAATAAATGTCTATTACTTACAGATTACCCAGTCTTAGGTATTTTGTTACTGTAGCACAAATAGACTAAGTTACTATATACATGCCAAGTAAGGAATTTAGTCTGTATGCTAAAAGTTAAGGAGATATATTAAATGCATTTTTGACAAAACATGGACACAATACAATTTGAGTTCAGTCTAGGGGATGAAGCAAATATCATATGTTAATTAGTATCATAACTTTCTCATTACATGATCATAACTTTAAGAGTGTCTCAAACAATACATAGTCCAAGACTTTCAGCTGGTAGATGAGAGATCCAGGACCCAGAAACACACAGTGTTTTTCAGGTTAAGTTTTTATAAATTGTTAACATAAAAGAATCTAATTTGGTCTCCTGGTTGAGTCATCCATTTACTCCATGGACACGTAAGTTCTATTTCTGGTGGCAAATCAGGACACTTCTTTGCATTACTTAATTGAAACTTCTTGGCCTAATAATCTTTGGTCAATTTATTTTCAATCTTAACATATATTTTTGTAGATCCCTTATGTCTTCTGTAAGACTTTTTGAATTAAGAAAGTTATATCACTTTCATTAATTTTCATTAGCAAATGTTTGATTAAGCTACAACTTTAGAGAAACTTGACTCTGCTGGAATCTGCCGTGGTGAGACTTAATGTTCTTTGACAAAGCAAATAGCTAACAGAACAGTTTTCACTATTTAAGAAAATCTTCAAAACAGGCACTGTTTCATTTTAATGTTTGTGAATGGCAGTTTGTCATGGAATTTTAATGGTTCGATTATAACAACCATTTCTAAAATGAATCACAGTTATTATCCTTTAAGGTATGGCATAAATTGTTGATTGCAATTGCTTACAGACTTTCCTAAAACAATAATATGTCTACATCATATCTGGAGCATGCTGTTGACTTAATAAACTGGGGAAGGGTTATCACAAAACTAAAACAAAAGATGGAATGACAGAGAAAGACTGCTGTAGGAATAAAGATTTACTATTTCCTCAAAGTAAAAATTAAACTGAAATTAAAGCAGCAAAAAAGGTAATTTTCACCTTCAAACTTAAAATCTTTATTGCATCTTCCTTTACTAGGGTCTGTGAGAATTTTATGTAGAAAGAATGCTTGAAACTGTTTCAGCTAATGGATTTTTTAATTTTTTTTTTTTTTTTTTGAGACGGAGTCTCACTCTGTCACCCAGACTGGAGTGCAGTGGCACAATCTCGGCTCACTGCAAGCTCCGCCTCCCGGGTTCAAGCCATTCTCCTGCCTCAGCCTCCGGAGTAGCTGGGACTACAGGCGCCCGCCACCACGCCCCGCTAATATTTTGTATTTTTAGTAGAGACGGGGTTTCATCGTGTTACCCAGGTTGGTCTCGATCTCCTGACCTCATGATCCACCCACCTCGGCCTCCCAAGGATTTTTAATGTTTTTAGCTGTGGACCTCTCATTAAGAAATTACCTGTAGTCTCAATAGGAAAAATAGATTAAAGATGGATTTTTTATACATTTGAATCAAGAGCAAAGGTTTCTGGACATTTTTACCTCAATCTGATCCCCCATTCCCTATCTCCTATTCAATTTGGTATGCCCAAGTCACCAATGAAGGGTATAAACTCTGCAGCACTATTCTACTCATCCAACTATTTGACTGAAAATATTAAAACCAGAAAATAGACATGAATTTGCCAATACTTCAAACCTTATTAGTACAAACTCTGGACTAGGAAGTCAGGTTTCTTGGAGGTAACAGGGAGAATATTCCATTGTGTTGGCTATTGTCCAAGAATCTTAGGATTTCTCCTACATTCACAATATTCTTCTGGAACTTGCAGCCCCTTGATTTCTTATTAAATGCTCGAAAGCCCAGTTATCCTTTGGCTAAAGAAATGAATTGTAGTTATGTGTAGAATCTGCCTGAAAAGGTGGCTATAATTCAAAAATAATTTGGAAAAATATGAATATCTATTTTTATTTTTACCAAAACCAAAGAAGTCAAGGGAACGGAACATCTAAAATAGAAATGGTAAAATTTGAAGAGTTGGAATATTACTTTGTGAGCCAATATTCTAAAGGTAAGTTAATAATCTTCACTTAATCAATTCAAATTATAACCCTGAGTATCTTTGCCAGAGACAGAGCCTTGTTTTTTGAAGTCAGACTTATCAAATTAATTTATCATCTGCTGAATTGATAAATCAGATTCCTGCTATATATAATACTGCCTTACACATAATCCCACAAATCTTAGTGGCCTACAATAGCAAATATTTGCAGGTCAGTTGCAGTAGGTTTCTTTCAGGCTGTTGGTTGGTATATTCACCTGTTTCCCAGGTAGGACAACACTATTGTACATACTGAACATTGCAGGCACCCACACAAACACAAACACACACTTAATGTATTAAGACAAATCCCCTAAAGAACGAATCATTGAATCAAATATTATGTACTCTAAAATAATGTCAATGGATTATCTTTGAATTGCTTCTCTAATGACTTGGGATTCACCTAGTATTTTCCTTTTAAATTCTAATATTCCTTACTGACTAATAAATTTGTAACATCAGTCCAACCAATCAATGGCCTTTGGTACATGAAGAGCAAGTAAGGATCCTATATTCCTATATATTCAATACAATTTTTTCACTATTATTATTGAGCCATTTCCACCAATAAGCAACTTTTTCTACTCATAGTTTCTAGTTCTCATATGTAGCATGCTGGCGTGGGGAGTCATTCATATGTGCCTATCTGCAGAGGTGTGGAGTTTTCTTTCAAGTTTTATGTTTGTTCTCTCTCTCTCTCTCTCTCTCTCCATATTTCTTTTTCTTTTTCTCTTTCCACTATCAAAAGCCCATCAAATAGTGAAAAGGAAACTTAAAAATCAAATTGTCAAAAATTGTATTTATCAGCCTTCAGTTTCCTTATTTGTTTGATTCTTTTAAGAACAAGAGAAGTGAGTATCCAAAGATTTTCCAGCCCATAGGCTTTTACAAATGCCATTGTCTTTAAAACAAAAAGATGGGGAAAATCTAACAGTGCAACAACAAATAAACTAATGTAACACTCCATTTTTGTTTAAGGGCCTTTACTCATTCCTCAACACAGGCTAGGATAATTTTAGAACACAGAGATAAAATGCAAAAACAGCAATCATATAGTTTTTGAAACTAACTCTGGGATTAAAGAAGAAGTATGTTAACAACTAAAAATGTTTTGTTGAGTTAATAGGAGCATCATGAACTGACTAAAGACAAAGGTGTTCCCAACCTCCTTGGACCCTCTCTGGTGCCCAGATGTCTGAGATCATCAGTCACCTCCTGATCCCAACCCGCTCTTTTCCCCCTGTCCTTAACAGAAAAAGAGCCTGAAATTTGTACCAACTTGAGATGCTAGTCCACCATATTCTCAGTTTGTTGCCTCTGCGACTAAACCTGCTTTTCCTCCCACCAACCCTCATGTCTCAAGTTTTGGCTTTTGAGAGGAGAGCAGCTGGATTGCTGTTGATCCATGTCATGTAATTGTTACCAAACCCCAGGGGTTTGGTCCAAATCCCATTGCTTACCACACAGAAAACCAGTCACCGAAACAATGAGCATCACCAGGAAAGAAAAAAAGAAAACACTTTATTTTATGAGTAACATCTGCCAGAGAGATTGGAGCCAAATCTCAAATCCGTTTCTCCTCTCTGACAAAAGTTAGGGGTTTACACAACGGAGAAGGAAGAAAGAGAGGCAGGGAAGTGGAGTTGGTTAACAAGCAGCAGGTGGTCAGATAAGGACTCTAGTATTTCACTGTAACCACAGGCAGAAAAATAGAAACTAGAGAGAGATAAGGTAAGGAAGGGGAATTGGTCAATAGGCAGCAGATGTGTCTTATTGCCCAGGTGTGGGGATCCCAGTAGCCTCATCTCCCTAATATCATCTGGGAGGCCTGAAAGTCGATTTTCTAAGAAAGGATGTAAGTTTAAAATTGGGCCAGTTTCATCCTGGTTTCTGATCTTCAGTTCTCCAAGCAAAGAATTATCTTATTTGGAAAGTTGATTTTGTACCCTAGGTAAGTCCCTTTAGTTTGGGCGCTCAGAGGCTTTCAATATGCTTTTCTCTGTGATGTGGTTATCTGATCCTGACCCAGAGACCTGTTGTTTTAAATTTTTTCATTTGTATACTTTAAAAATTTTTCATTTTTAATTTTTGGTGTACATGGTAGATATGTGCATTTATGGGGTACATGACATATTTTGAACGGGAATACAGTGCATAATAATCACATAATGAAAAACAGGGTATCCATCACCTCAAACACTTACCATTTCTTTGTCTTACGAACACTGCAATTATACTTTCAGTTATTTTTAAATGTACAATAAATTATTATTGACTGTAAGCACCCCATTGTACCAGACCTTATTCATTCTATGTATTTTTTTTAACCTATTAACCATCCCCATTCCCATACCAACTACCATTCCCAGACCTTGGTAATCATCATTCTTTTTTCTTATTATTATACTTTAAGTCCTGGGATATATGTGCAGAACATGCAGGTTTGTTACATAGGTATACACGTGCCATGGTGCTCTGCTGCACCCATCAACCTGTCATCTACATTAGATATTTCTGGTAATGCTATCCCTCCCCTAGTCCACCACCCCCCGACAGGCCCTAGTGTGTGATGTTCCCCTCCCTGTGTCCATGTGTTCTCATTGTTCAACTTCCACTGCTGAGTGAGAACATGTGGTGTTTGGTTTTCTTTGCCTGTGTCAGTTTGCTGAGAATGATGGTTTCCAGCTTCATCCATGTCCCAGCAAAGGACATGAACTTATCCTTTTTTTATGGCTGTATAGTATTCCATGGTATATATGTGCCACATTTTCTTTATCCAGCCTATCATTGATGGGCATTTGAGTTGGTTCCAAGTCTTTGCTGTCATTAATAGTGCTGCAATAAACATGCGTGTGCCTGTGTCTTTATAGTAGAATGGTTTATAATCCTTTGGGTATATACCCAGTAATGAGATTGCTGGGTCAAATGGTATTTCTGGTTCTAGATCCTTGAGGAATTGCCACACTGTTTCCACAATGATTGAACTAATTTACACTCCCACCAACAGTGTAAAAGTGTTCCTATTTCTCCACATCATCTCCAACATCTGTTGTTTTCTTTTTAAATGATCGCCATTCTAACTGGCATGAGATGATATCTCCTTGGGTTTTTATTTGCATTTCTCTAATTATCGGTGATGATGAGCTTTTTTTCATGTTTGTTAGCCACATAAATGTCTTCTTTAGAGAAGTGTCTGTTCATATCCTTCGCCCACTTTTTGATGGGGTTGTTTTTTCTTGTAAATTTGTTTAAGTCCCTTGTAGATTCTGGATATTAGCCCTTTGTCAAATGGATAGATTGCAAACATTTTCTCCCATTTTGTAGGTTGCTTGTTCACTCTGATGATAGTTTCTTTTGCTGTGCAGAAGCTCTTTAGTTTAATTAGATCCCTTTTGTCAATTTTGGCTTTTGTTGCCATTTCTTTTGGTGTTTTAGTCATGAAGTGTTTGCCCATGCCTATGTCCTGAATGGTACTGCCTAGGTTTTCTTCTAGGGTTTTTATAGTTTTAGGTCTTATGTTTAAGTTTTTAATCCATCTTGAGTTAAACTTTGTATAAGGTGTAAGGAAGGGGTCCAGTTTCAGTTTTCTGCATATGGCTAGTCAGTTTTCCCAACATCATTTTTTAAATAGGGAAGCCTTTCCCCATTGTTTGTTTTTGTCAGGTTTGTCAAAGATCAGATGGTTGCAGATGTATGGCATTATTTCTGAGGCCTCTGTTCTATTCCATTGGTCTGTAGATCTGTTTTGGTACCAATACCATGCTGTTTTGGTATCAGTACCATGCTGTTTTGGTTACTGTAGACTTGTAGTATAGTTTGAAGTCAGGTAGTGTGATTCCTCCAGCTTTGTTCTTTTTGCTTAGGATTGTCTTGGCTATACGGGCACTTTTTTGGTTCCATATGAAATTTAAAGTATTTTTTTCTAATTCTGTGAAGAAAGTCATAATGGTAGCTTGATGGGGATAGCATTGAATCTATAAATTACTTTGGGCAGTATGACCATTTTCATGATATTGATTCTTCTTATCCATGAGCATGGAATTTTTTTCCATTTGTTTGTGCCCTTTCTTATTTCCCTGAGCAATGGTTTGTAATTCTCCTTGAAGAGGTCCTTCACATCCCTTATAAGTTGTATTCCTAGGTATTTTATTCTCTTTGTAGCAATTGTGAATGGGAGTTCATCCATGATTTGGCTGTTTGTCTGTTATTGGTGTGCAGGAATGCTTGTGATTTTTGCACATTGATTTTGTATCCTGAGACTGAAGTTGCTTATCAGCTTAAGGAGATTTTGGGCTGAGACTATGGTATTTCTAAATATACAATCAAGTCATCTGCAAACAGAGACGATTTTGAGAGGTGAAGCTGGCTGGGCTTCTGGGTCGGGTGGGGACTTGGAGAACTTTTCTGTCTAGCTAAAGGATTGTAAATAAACCAATCAGCGCTCTGCGTCTAGCTAAAGGTTTGTAAACACACCAATCAGCACTCTGTGTCTAGCTAATTGGGTGGGGACCTGGAGAACTTTTCGAACTAAAGGGTTGTAAATGCACCAATCAGTGCTCTGTATCTAGCTAAAGATTTGTAAACGCACCAATCAGCACTCTGTAAAATGGACGAATCAGCACTCTGTAAAATGGACCAATCAGCAGGATGTGGGCGGGGCCAAATAAGGGAATAAACGCTGTTGGAAGAGCCAGCAGCAGCAACCGGCTTGGGTCCCCTTTCACACTGTGGAAGCTTTGTTCTTTCGCTCTTCGCAGTAAATCTTGCTGCTGCTCACTCTTTGGGTCTGCACTGGCTTTATGAGCTTAACACTCACCACGAAGGTCTGCAGCTTCACTCCTGAAGCCAGCAAGACCACAAATCCACCGGGAGGAATGAACAATTCCAGATGCACCACCTTTAAGAGCTGTAACACTCACTGTGAAGGTCTGCAGCTTTGCTCCTGAAGCCAGCGAGACCACAAACCCACTGGAAGGAATGAACAACTCCAGGCGCGCCGCCTTTAAGAGCTGTAACCCTCACTGCAAAGGTCTGCAGCTTCACTCCTGAAGTTGGTGAGACCACAAACCCACCAGAAGGAATAAACTCCGGACACATCTGAACATCTGAAGGAACAAACTCTGGACACACCATCTTTAAGAACTGTAACACTCACTGCGAGGGTCCGCAGTTTCATTCTTGAAGTCAGCAAGACCAAGAACCCACCGGAAGGAACCAATTCTGGACACAATTTTACTTCCTCTCTTCCTATTTGAATACCCTTTATTTCTTTCTTTTGCCTGATTGCCCTGGCCAGAACCTCCAATACTATGTTGAATAGAAGTGATGAGAGAGGGCATCCTTGTCTTGTGCCAGTTTTCAAAGGGAATGCTTCCAGCTTTTACCCATTCAATATGATACTGGCTGTGGATTTGTCATAAATAGCTCTTATTATTTTGAGATACGTTCCATCGATACCTAGTTTATTGAGAGTTTTTAGCATGAAGGAGTGTTGAATTTTATTGAAGGCCTTTTCTGTATCTATTGAGGTAATCATGTGGTTTTTGTCATTGGTTCTGTTTATGTGATGGATTACGTTTATTGATTTATATATGTTGAACCACCCTTGCATCCCAGGAATGAAGCCAACTTGATCGTAGTGTGTAAGTTTTTTGATGTGCTGCTGGATTAGGTTTGCCAGTATTTTATTGAGGATTTTTGCATTGATGTTCATTGGGGATACTGGCCTGAAATTTTCTTCTTATTGTTGTGTTTCTGCCAGGTTTTGGTATCAGGATGATGCTGGCTGCATAAAATGAGTTAGGGAGAAGTCCCTCTTTTTCCATTGTTTGGAATAATTTCAGAAGGAATCGTACCAGCTCCTCTTTGTACCTCTGGTAGAATTTGGCTGTGAAATCATCTGTTCCTGGGCTGTTTTTCTTTGGTAGGCTATTAATTACTGCCTCAATTTCATAACTTATGATTGGTCTATTCAGGGATTTGACTTCTTCCTGGGAGGGTGTATGTGTTCAGGAATTTATCCATTTCTTCTAGATTGTCTAGTTTATTTGCATAGAGGTTTTTCTAGTATTCTCTGATGTTTGTATTTCTGTGGGATCAGTGGTGGGATCATTTTTTATTGTCTATTTGAATCTTCTCTCTTTTTTATTTGTCTGGCTAGCAGTCTATTTTGTTAACCTTTTTAAAATACCAGCTCCTGGATTCATTAATTTTTTGAAGGGTTTTTTTTTTGTGTCTCTATCTCCTTCAGTTCTGCTCTGATCTTAGTTATTTCTTGTCTTCTGCTACCTTTTGAATTTGTTTGCTCTTGCTTCTCTAGTTCTTTTAATTGTGATGTTAGGGTGTTGATTTTAGATCTTTCCCACTTTCTCTTGTGGGTATTTAGTGCTATAAATTTTCCTCTAAACACTGCTTTAGCTGTGTCCCAGAGATTCTGATATGTTGTGTCTTTGTTCTCATTGGTTTCAAAGAACTTATTTATTTCTGCCTTAATTTCATCATTTACCCAGTAGTCATTCAGGAGCAGGTTGTTCAGTTTCCAAGCAAAAGCAAAAGAATGGAAATCATAACAGTTTCTCAGACCACTGTGCAATCAAATTAGAACTCTGGAATAAGGAGTCATTATTCTATACTCTATATCTATGAGTTCAATAGTTTTAATTTTTAGCTCCTACAAATGAGTGAGAACGTGTGAATTTTGTCTTTCTGTGCCTGGCTTGTTTCACTTAATTCCCTCTAGTTCCATCCATGTTGATGCTTTAAATAGCAGGATCTCATTTTTAATGGCTGAATAGTATTCCATTGTGTATATGTATCACAGTTTATTCATTCATTTGTAGATAGACATTAGGCTGCTTCCAAATCTCAGCTATTATGAATAGTGCTGCAATAAACATGCGGGTGCAGCTATGTCTTCTATATACTGATTTACTTTCTTCTGGGTATATACATAGAAGTGGGATTATTGGATTATATGATAGCTGTATTTTTAGTTTTTTAAGGAACCTACATACTGTTCTACATAGTAGCTGTACTAATTTACATTCCCAGCAACAGTGTATGAGTTTTTCCTTTTCTCCATATTCCCACCAGCATTTGTTATTGCCTGTCTTTTGAATAAAAGCCATTTTAACTAGGGTGAGATGATATTTCATCATAGCCTTGACTTGCATTTCTCTGATAATTAGTACCTTTCATATACCTGTTTGCCAGCTGTATGTCTTTTTTTGAGAAATGTCTATTCAGATCTTTTGCCCATTTTTGAATCAGATTATTACATTTTTTCCTCTAGAGTTGTTTGAGCTCTTTATATATTCTGGTTATTAATTATTTGTCAGATAGATTGTTTGCAAATACTTTCTCCCATTCTCTGGGTTGTCTCTTCACTTTGGCGATTATTTCCTTTGCTGTGCAGAAGCTTTTTAACTTGATGTGATCCCATTTGTCCATTTTTGCTTTGTTTGCCTGTGCTTGTGGGGTATTACTCAAGAAATTTTTGCTCAGATCAATGTCCAGGAGAGTTTCTCCAAAGTCTTCATTTGAGGTCTTAGATTTAAGTTTTTTATCCATTTTATTTCATTTTTATATATGGTAACAAATAGGAGTCTAGTTTTATTCTTTTGCATGTGGTTATCCAGATTTTCCAACACCATTGATTGAAGAGACTCTCCTTTCCCCAATGTATGTTCTTGGCACATTTGTTGAAAATGAGTTCACTGTAGATTTATGGATTTATTTCTGTGTTCTCTATTTTGTTCCATTGGTACATGTATCTGTTTTTATGCCAGTACCATGGTGTTTTGGTTACTACAGCTCTGTAGTATAATTTGAAGTCAGGTAATGTGATTCCTCCAGTATTGTTATTTTTGCTTAGGGTAGCTTTGGCTATTCTGGGTGCTTTGTGGTTCCATATAAATTTTAGGATTTTTTTCTACTTCTGTGAAGAATGCCATTAGTATTTTGATAGGGATTGCATTGAACCTGTAGATTGTTTTAGTTAGTATGGACATTGAGGAAAGATTAATTATTCAAATTCATGAAGATAAAATATCTTTCTGTTTTTGGGTCTTTTTCAACTTATTGCATCAATCTTTTATAGTATTCATTGTAGAAATCTTTCGCTATTGGTTAAGTTTATTCCCAGACATTTTATTTTATTTTTGGCTTTTGCAAATAGGATTATTTCTTGATTTCTTTTTCAGATTGTTCACTGTTGGCATATAAAAATGCTACTGCTTTTTGTATGTTGATTTTGTTTCCTGTAAATTTACTCAATTTTATTTATCAGTTCCAATAGTTTGTGTGTGTGTGTGTGTGTGTGTGTGTGTGTGTGTGTGTGGAGTCATTAGGTTTTTCTGAATAAGATCACATCATCTGCAAACAAGTATAATTTCAATTCTTCTCTTTAAATTTAGATGCTCTTTATTTCTTTCTCTTTTCTAATTATTCTAGCTAGGACTTCCAGTACTATGTTGAATAACAGTGGTGAAAGTAGACATCCTTGTCTTTTTTAAGATGTTAGAGAAAAGGCCTCCTGTTTTTCTCCATTTATTATGATACTAGCTGTGGGTCTGTTGTATACGGATTTTATTGTGTTGAGGTATGTTCCTTCTATACCCATTTTATGAGAGCTCTTTTTTGGTTATAAATTTTATCAAATTTTTCTGGATCAATTTAAATGATCATATCGTCTTTGTCCTTTGTTCTATTGTTATGATGCATCACATTGATTAATTTGCATACATTGAAACATCCATGCATCTCTGGGATAAGTCCAACGTGGTCTTGATGAATGATCTTTTTAATGTGTTGTTGAATTTGGTTCACTAGTGTTTTGTTGAGTTTTGAAACAATATTTAAGAATAGTATTGGCCTGTAGTTTTTTTTCTTTTTTTTTTTAATGTGTCTTTCTCTGGTTTCGGTATCAGGGTAATACTGGCCTCATAGAATGAGTTTGGAAGCACTCCTTCCTCCACTATTTTTGGAAATAGTTTGAGTAGGATTGGTATCAATTCCTCTTTAAATGTTTCACAGAATTCAGAAGTGAAGACATCAGGTACCAGGCTTTTCTTTGTTAGGGGCCTTTTTATTACAGCTTCAATCTTGTTACTTGTTATTGGTCTGCTCAGGTTGTGGATTTCTTCATGATTCTATCTTGGTAAGCTGTATCTGTTTCTTCTAGATTTTCCAATTTATTGGCATATAGTTGCTGGTAGTAGCCACTAATGATCTTTTGAATTTATGTGGTACCAGTTGTGATGTCTCCTTTTTCATCTCTGATTTTGTTTATTTGAGTCTTCTCTTTTTCTATGGCTAAAAGTTTGTCGATTTTGTTTATCTTTTCAAAAAACTCACTTTTTGTTTCATTGATCTTTTGTACTGTTTTCTTTATTTCTGCTCTGATCTTTATTATTTCCTTTCTTCTACTGATTTTTGGTTTGGTTTTCTCTTGCTTTTCTAGTTCTTTAAGACACATCGTTAGATTGTTTATTTGAATTTTTTCCTCTCTTTTGAGTAGGCACTTATAGCTATAAATTTTTCTCTCAGTTCTGCTTTTGTGGTATCCCACGGGTTTTTGTATGTTGTGTTTCCATTATCATTTGTTTCAATTTTTTTCTTATTTCTTTATTGTTCCACCAGTCATTCAGGAGCATATTCCTTAATTTTCATGGGTTTGTACAGTTTCCAAAGTTTATCTTGTTATTGATTTCTAGTTTTATTTCATTGTGGTCAGATAAATACTTGGTATGATGTTAATTTTTTTGAATGTTTTAAGACTTGTTTTATGACCTAACATATGGTCTATCCTTGACAATGATCCATGTACTGAGGAGAAAAATGCATACTTTGTAGCTGTTGGATGAAATGTTCTGTAAATATCTATTAGGTTCATGTAGTTTATACTACAGATTAAGTCCAGTATTTCTTTGTTGACTTTCTATCTGGGTGATCAGATCAATGCTGAAACTGGGATATTGAAATCTATTATACTGGGGTCTTTTTATTTGTATAAATTTAAGGGGTACAAAATCATAAATTAGCCCTTCCAAATCTCTTCTTTCCTTTTTTTTTTTCCACTGTTGAAGTTGTGTTTGTTTGTTTTTTAAAGGTATTTTTTAAAGGTTTTTTTTTTTTTTTTGGTATTCCATGAGGGAAATCTGGAGTGATTATTTTTACCCTAGAACTTCTACAGATTAATTTACATAATTATTTTCTCAGTATGTTACAGTAAAGATTTTGGGCAAAAAAGGATTAAGAATGATGAAATAAATAACTGGAGTCAAGATTTCTGTTGGCTAAAATTGGAAATTTGATGAGTGTTCCTCCTGGTCCTTTACATAAATCTGACCCTCAGTCACAACACTCTCTAGAAAGTTCATGAAAGCAACCATGGTACCAGCCTATATCTCTGGATTTTCCCAGATGTTCCTTTTTTTTTTTTGAGGCGGAATATCACTGTGTCACCCATGCTGGAGTGCAGTGGCGCGATCTCAGCTCACTGCAAACTCCGCCTCCCAGGTTCATGCCATTCTCCTGCCTCAGCCTCCCAAGTAGCTGGAACTGCAGGCGCCCACCACCATGCAAGGCTAATTTTTTGTATTTTCAGTAGAGACAGGGTTTCACCGTGTTAGCCAGGATGGTCTCAATCTCCTGACCTCGTGATCTTCCCGCCTCGGCCTCCCAAAGTGCTGGGATTACAGGCGTGAGCCACCGCGCCCGGCCCCAGATGTTCTTTTTTACTAGCCCATTTGACAAACTGTTCTCTGCACCTCTCTTCCTAGCCTATCATCTAGCTTTATATATCTCATCTTCATATTTGTCTGAGATCCTTTTTCCTGCAAGCACCCTCTATCCACATTGTCAGGTAAAAGTGGGAGAGCTAAGGTTCTTAAGCTGTCACCATCTGAGATGTTGGGTCTGTTGCCCTGGGAGCAGTAGTGACAGACGGCGACACCCCTCACTGTATCTAGGCCGTACAAAGCAGCTTTGTGAAGACAACCCAAGTTTGCGCCTACAGGTAACAGCCCTAAAATGTCAACTGTCAGAGACAAGAAAGGACTGGCCTCTTCCAGGCACCACCGACCCCATGATACCTATAGATGCTGTCCATGTCCAAAGAGTTTCATGGGGAAATTCGCCACATTTCTAGTTTTATAATGTAAACAGGGAAACTTAAGTGAGTAGAATGTTCTTGTAACTGATAATTTCAAGAGATTGAGTGGCCAAGCATTATCCTCTTTTTGCCACTAAATGCTGTTCAAACCAGTTTCTTGAGCTCATCTGTCAAAGTGCAGCGAATAAAATAATTTTTGACTTAGAAATGATTTGATTTGGCTGGGCACAGTGACTCACCCCTGTAATCCCAGCTCTTTAGGAGGCCGAGGCAGGCGGATCACAAGGTCAGAAGATTGAGACCATCCTGGCCAACACAGTGAAACTCCGTCTCTACTAAAATACAAAAATTAGGCGGGTGTGGTGGCGCATGCCTGTAATCCAAGCTCTGTAATCCCAGCTACTCAGGAGAATCCCTTGAACCAGGGATTCGGAGGTTGCAGTGAGGCGAGATCACACCACAGCACTCCAGCCTGGTGACAGAGCGAGACTCTGTCTAAAAAAAAAAAAAAAAAGAAATGATTTGAATCATCGTCATTCTCAGTAACATGCATCATCTGACAAAGAAAACTTGTCAAGGGGACGGTGGGACCTAAACCCAGCAGATCCTAGGGGAAATGCTCTGCAGATCTCACCTTCACAAGCCTGCATGTTGTGTTCTTGCCTCAGACTACAATATTCTGAAACCATTTATTGCAAACTGGCTTTTAACATCCCAGTCTCATCTTGTCAGTCATCCTTCAAAGAGGTCTTCTCTGACTACCCAAATTATAACAACTTTCTTTTTTTCTGATTTTAATATTCTACCCCTTTCATATGCTTGATTAGACTTCATGAGTCTTTTAATTATTTTATGTATTTTCTTTCCAGCTTGTTTATCACCTTTATCCTTTGAAGGAATGCAAGCCTAATAAGGACTGAAATTATGTCTGTATGTCTACCTTACTTGCTATTTTATCCCCAGGGTACAGATTTTTACACATGGTAAATTATAGGCAATATATCAGGTATCCTGACTGAATGCCACTAAACCACTTCTATTCTCTTTCCTGAAACTCCTGCATTTTGGCAACAAGTTCTGATACAACTTTCTTTTTACCTCATGCCTTTCCTGTCTGGGCTACTGTTTTCCAAATTCTCTACCTATGGTTCCTTTATGTGGCTTACAAACCCAGCGGTTCATGCCCAGTGTCCTTCTTTGCCTTCTCCTGGTCTGGGCATGAAGTCTTCTATTCTGAAAGCTGACATTCTACATGTTTAAAATGCAATTACTTTCTACTTACAGACTCTAGCATCATCCAGCTCTATTGGTTCTTTATAGCTTCCTCTGTTTCTATGGAGATGGATGGATTTAGCTACTACTGTGTACGGCCAAAGATTATAGAAACAGAAAAGATGGGATTAACTTGGACACTCTTTGTGTAATTAGCATCTAATGGATCTATCCTCAAAATAGATCAGTTACAACCCCATTAGTCTAGAATCATAGCTGCTCAGACTTCATGTTATAAGAGGTCGAATGATGATTCACAGCAGGGACTCTAAAAAGCACTTCTGGGGGAAAATGTTTACTGAATAAACAGTCTGATCACCAGAGAGAGAATGACTCATTTTTGTTTCCTGCCTTAATGTGTGAAAATGCTTTTCCTATAGAAATGGACTGCATTAAGAAGCTTGGAGGCATTTTGCCAGACTCATTTGTGCAGTGGATTAGGATGTAAATATCATTATTGAATTGTATGTCTTAGAGAAGAAAGAGAAGCATGTATGGTGTGTACAATTTCTCTTCACTTTCAAAACCATGCTACAAGATTTTTTTTTTTTTTAACTCTGGTAGGAAAGAGTCTATAAAAGTCTTCCCTTTCACAAAATAGAAAAATTAGGCTGAGAAGACAAGGGGTTAGAACAATGTCAAAGACCTAACAAGTCACACAGTGAGCCTAAATCCTGGGTGTTCTGATTCCTGATACTTCTCAAGGCAGAACACTTTCTCTCAATTACTTGGCAGCCTCTCACACTTACAAAATTTTAAGTCATATATCATGATAGAAGATGGAAGCTTCTTGACTAAAGATAAAAGGAAAATTACAAAACCATACAGCAGAAAGTAGAAATTATGATGGAGCTCATGGCCAGGAAGTAATTTCAAATCAGACTACCCTCTGTCCTCACTTAACAAAAAGCATTACCCCCATTTTTCAAGGTGTCTCTGCTGTTGTCCTAAATTGTGATCTAAGCTGAAGTCTCATGGATTAGCATATGTTGCTTATTCCATTAAATCACACTGCTTTCGGACGAACTTGAATGGCCCTAAAGGTGTGTGGTAGAAATATTTGCTATCCTGTCTCACAGTGTCGTGGTCCTCCTTTTTGATCCAGTAATTGTGGTATCAACCACCTGTATGTAAGTGTAGTCTCATGGCTCTTGGTGTCAGCTATACCATGCCTAACTTGCTCCGATCTGCAGTCTCTTTGTTCTCTTTGTGGCAACAGCATGCAACATCAGGAAAAATAAAGGGATTAATACCACAGGGGAGATATTGACAAATAGGGCACGGACTTCAATGGACAAGTGTCCACTTCCCTATGCCTCATGTAGATTACACTGAAGAATACTCTCTGGGGTTTCTCACAGGGTGCTAGTGAAAGTTAGAATTCATTGCCCTGTGCAGCAAGCAGCTCAATTATTCTCCCTTGCTATTTATTTTCCTGAAACCTTCAATGTTTCGCAGTCCACCCACTTTTTTCCCACAGGGTTACATTCTAAAATAAATTGTCTGTGTACATATGCTTGCTTACGGTCTGTTCAGGGAGAAAAGCTGCACAGGACTATTTCTTGTGTACTTAGTAGATGCATTAGCCATACTTCTCCAAAGAAACAGAACCAATAGAATCCATCTGTCAATTGATTTATTACAAAGAATAAACTCATGGAATTATGGAGACTAAAAAGTCTTAAGATCTGCAGCTGGCAAGTGGGAGACCCAGAATAGCTGATGGTACAGTTCCAGTTCACATCCGAAGCCCTAAGAAGCAGGAGAGCTGATTGTGCAAATTACAGTCCTAGTCTGAGTTCAAAGGCAGGAGATAAGAAAAGTCCCAGCTCAAAGACAGGCAGAGTTCCCTCTTATGTAGCCTTTTTGCTCAAGTTAGGTTTTTAATTAATGGGATGAGACCCACCCACATTGGGGAAAGCAATCTGCTTTTCTTTTTTCTTTTTTTTTTTTATTATACTTTAAGTTTTAGGGTACATGTGCACATTGTGCAGGTTAGTTACATATGTATACATGTGCCATGCTGGTGAGCAATCTGCTTTTCTACATCTACTTATTCAAACGTTAATCTAATTCAAAAACACTCTCACAGTCACATCCCAAATAGTGTTTAACCAAATGTCTGTTATCACATAGCCCAGTCAAGCTGACATATAAAATTAATCACAGTGGGGTAGAGTATTGCATTCATCAAAATTAATAAAAAAGCTGTATGTTCTAAAATTTATATATGTTATGTTATAAATCCTTTTGAAAATCCACATATCAGATAGATAGTCATTTTTAATTTTAACTTACAGAGACAAAAAACTAAGGAACAGCCGGGCACGGTGGCTCATGCCTGTAATCCCAGCATTTTGGGAGGCTGAGGTGGGCAGATCACCTGAGGTCGTGAATTCAAGACCAGCCTGACCAACATGGAGAAACCCCATCTCTACTAAAAATACAAAATTAGCCAGCCAAGTTTGGTGGCACATGCCTGTAATCCCAGCTACTCAGGAGGCTGAGGCAGGAGAATTGCTTGAACCTGGGAGGTGGAGGTTGCCGTGAGCCGAGATTGCACCACTGCACTCCAGCCTGGGCAGGAAGGGTGAAACTCCGCCTCAAAAACAAATAAACAAAAAAACTAAGGAATGATGGGTTAAATAAATTAGTCAAATTCACACATATACTTACTAACAGTAAAGGATCACTATAACACAAAAGTATACAATTTTTCTAAAATCAAATACTACCTTTCTAAGGAGGTCAAAGTCATGTCCCAGGCACACCAAAATAATGTGATTATTATTTTTTTATTCAAAATCTAAGCTTCTTAGTATGTTACCCAAATCCATTATGATGATTACAGTGTTATCTATTCATGCTTATTTATTTTCGACAACCCAATCCTTATTGGTTTGTTTTATGACAATTAAATGAGATAATTTGTAAAAAGTACCAATAAGTACTAGTTATTGCTGTCCTTTGACTTCCACTTTATTAAGAAATAGAGACATAGGTATGAATAAATATAAATACATGGACACAGAAATGGAAATCAAATAAGTGTATTCATAGCTTCATTTGAGAATGTCTGTTTTAATGTTCTTACATTACTTGTTTCAACAATGTTCTCATGGAAATTGTATTAGTCCGTTATCACACTGCTATGAAGAAATACCCGAGACTGCGTAATTTATAAAGAAAAGAGGACTACTTGACTCGCAGTTCCACATGGCTGGGGAGGACTCAGGAAAACTTACAATCATGGCAGAAGTCACCTCTTCACAGGATGACAGGAGAGAGAATGAGTGCAAGCACGGGAAATGCCAGATGCTTATAAAATCATCAGATCCCTTCAGTCATCAGAGACTCACTCATTTTCATAAGATTAGCATAGGGGAAACCATCCCCATGATTCATTTACCTCCACCTGGTCTCACCCTTGATATGTGGGGATATGGGGATTACAGTTCAAGGTGAGATTTGGATGGGGCCACAGAGCCAAACCATATCAGAAATCCTCACATATTTAACCATCACTTTAATAACATTTATTTCTAATTTCTAAAGTGACACAAAAATGAATAAAATAATGCATGTGTTATAAAAAATTTGTAAAGTACCATAATCTATATTTTTAAAAAAAACATATCTTCTCTACCACCTTGAGAATAACTATTAATATTTAATGATAATGTATTTGTGTGAATGTACATTTCTATCTTTATGTTTGTTTCTATATACCCATCCATATGTTCACCTATATCCACTACAGCAGTTTAGCTAACATATAAAAATATAGATGTGATGATTAATTTTAGGGGTCAACTTCATTGAATAAAACATAGCCAAATAGATGGCAAAGCATTATTTCTAGCTGTGTCTGTGAGGGTGTTTCTGGAAGGCACTGGCATTTGAATCAGTGAACTGAAAAAGGAAGATTCACTGTCATCCAGTATGGGTGGGCACAATCCAGTCAGCTGAAGGTCCACATATATATTTAAAAAAAAGCTTTTCTAGCTTCCTAGATTGCAGACAGTGTGTCATTTTCAGCCTCCCTTATCATATGAGCCGATTCCCCTAATGAAGCCCCTCTCATATATCTCTTTTATCTAACAATCAGTTATCTATCTATCCTATTGGTTCTGTCTCTTTGGAGAACCCTTGCCTAATAAATAGGAAAATGATGATATATGTATTTTCTTTCAGATGTTTCAGTTTGGAGTGAGGTGATGTCTTTTGAAGGCTGCTTCAGTTTCAGTGAAAGCAGATGATGTAGGGAAATAAAAACATTCATAACAAGTTTTGCAGGGTGGGATGGTGGCATTTCAAAGTGAGTTTGGTAACTGAGAAGAGACCTTGATTGACAGGATTTTCCAGATTAGTCCGTCACTCACAACAGATACCAATTATCAATATTAGGAAGATAGGAAAGTGATTATTAACATAGACAATGTGGAGATGATCCCAGGAGTTTCTCATCTCTTATAAGGCACCAGAGGAAGGTGTATGAAATCAGAGGAAAGCTGTCTGTCTCAGCTCTCTTTTACTATTGGTGTAGGCTTGCATATATGCTGTGATCTGAATGTTTGTGTGCCCTACAGATTCATATATTAAAATTATATCTCCCCGGGTGATAGCATTAGGAGGTTAGGTTATTGAAAAGTGATTAGGTGATGAAGGCAAATTCCCTTCTGACTGGAATTAGTTTTCTTATAAAATAAGCCAAGGAAGTCTAGCTAGCTCCTTTTACTGTGTGAGAACATGGCAAGAAAATGCCATTTATGAATCAGAAAATGGGCCTCTACCAGATATCAATTCTTTTAGCAATTTGTTTCTGGTCTTCCAAGCCCCCAGAACTGTGAGAAATCCATTTCTGTTGTTTCTAAAGCACCCAGTTTTTGGTATTTTTTCATAGCAGTTTGAACAGGTTAAGAATATATTTAGCTTAGTATATTTATTAAACTTTACTTTTATTCTCCATAAAATGAGAATCAGTAGTCACCCTATTAAGTCTTAGTGTATTATTATCTATTCAACAAATATGTTGAATAAATAAATGAATGAACAAATATAAAAATGCCTTACCAACCGTTTGCTTTATAAAAAAATATAAGCAGCAGAGGAGGCCAAGCAAGATGGTGGAATGGAGGGCTCCACCAATTGTCCCCCCATTCAAAGGCACCAATTTAACAATTATTTACACAGAAAACAAACAAACAAAAAAAGCACCTTCATAAGAACAAAAATTAAGTTAACACTCACAATACCAGGTTTTAACTTCATATCACTGAAAGCAGCACCGAAGAGGTATGAAAAAGAGTCTTGAATCACTGATGCCATGCCTCCTCCAACCCCCGGCAGCAGCAGTCTGGAGAGCGTTTCTGTGCATTGGAGAGGAGAACTCAGCAGTTGTAAGGCATTGAACTCAGTGCTGCCTTGTTAAAGCAGAAATAATAAGCAGACCAAACTCAGCTGACACCTGTCCCTGGAGAGAGCATTTAAACCAGCTCACGCCACAGGGGAATTGCTGGTCCCAGTGTGTCTGGAATTGGTGGGTTCTTGGTCTCACTGACTTCAAGAATGAAGCCGCAGACCCTCGCGGTGAGTGTTACAGTTCTTAAAGGCGGTGTGTCGGGAGTTTGTTCCTCCTGATGTTCAGATGTGTTCGGAGTTTCTTCCTTCTGGTGGGTTCGTGGTCTCGCTGGCTCAGGAGTGAAGCTGCAGACCTTCGCGGTGAGTGTTACAGCTCTTAAGGCGGCACGTCTGGAGTTGTTCTTTCCTCCCGGTGGGTTCGTGGTCTCGCTGGCTTCACAAGTGAAGCTGTAGACCTTCGCGGTGAGTGTTACAGCTCATAAAAGCAGTGTGGACCCAAAGAGTGAGCAGTAGCAAGATTTATTGCAAAGAGCGAAAGAACAAAGCCTCCACAGTGTGAAAGGGGACCCAAACGGGTTGCCACTGCTGGCTCTGGCAGCCTGCTTTTATTCTCTGGCCCCACCCACATCCTGCTGATTGGTAGAGCCGAGTGGTCTCTTTTGGCAGGGCACTGATTGATGCGTTTACAATCCCTGAGCTAGACACAAAGGTTCTCCACGTCCCCACCAGATTAGCTAGATACAGAGTGTGGACACAAAGGTTCTCCAAGGCCCCACCAGAGTAGCTAGATACAGAGTGTCGATTGGTGCATTCACAAACCCTGAGCTAGACACAGGGTGCTGATTGGGGTATTTACAAACCTTGAGCTAGATACAGAGTGCCGATTGGTGTATTTACAATCCCTGAGCTAGACAAAGGTTCTCCACGTCCCCACCAGACTCAGGAGCCCAGCTGGCTTCACCCAGTGGATCCCACACCAGGGCTGCAGGTAGAGCTGCCTGCCAGTCCCGGTGCCGTGCGCCCGCACTCCTCAGCCCTTGGGTGGTCGATGGGACTGGGTGCCGTGGAGCAGGGGGTGGTGCTCGTCTGGGAGGCTCAGGCCACACAGGAGCCCATGGAGGGGGTGGGAGGCTCAGGCATGGTGAGCTGCAGGTCCCGAGCCCTGCCCTGCGGGAAGGCAGCTAAGGCCCGGTGAGAAATCGAGTGCAGTGCCAGTGGGCTGGCACTGCTGGGGGACCCAGTATACCCTCCACAGCCGCTGGCCCGGGTGCTAAGCCCCTCATTGCCCGGGGCTGGCAGGGCCGGCCGGCTGCTCCCAGTGCGGGGCCTGCCAAGCCCACGCCCACCCGGAACTCCAGCTGGCCCGCAAGCACCATGCACAGCCTGGGTTCCCGCTCACGCCTCTCCATCCACACCTCCCTGCAAGCTGAGGGAGCGGGCTCTGGCCTTGGCCAGCCCAGAAAGGGGCTCTCACAGTGCAGCGGTGGGCTGAAGGGCTCAAGTGCTGCCAAAGTGGGAGCCCAGTCAGAGGAGGCGCCGAGCGCGAGTGAGGGCTGTGAGGACTGCCAGCACACTGTCACCTCTCAATCCCCCCTCTAAACAGGACACCCCAACTGCTGTTGGGAATTTGGCCGATGACCGCTCTAGCTACTTCCTGCTGGATAGGGGTGAAGAAGGGGCCCTGCAGTTGTAGTGTCCTTCAGAGGGGAACTCTCTAGGCCAGGGGAGGTGCCAGCAGGTTGGTCCAGGGGTCTTCGGTAGAAGTTGTTAGTTGAACTCATTTGGGGTTCCGTTTGTAAGACTATCTGTAGCTTGATGGCCTCGATTCCAGAGGAAACAAATTTGACAAGAAGGTTAAAAATACAGGGCCCCAAGGCGAGTAACAGCAAGATGGCTGCCACAGGACCTAGAAAGGGGAGAAGCCATGTTGCCCAACTCCAGAGATTGGTATAAGAATTTGAAAGGCGTTGTCTGATTTCAGAAGCCTTTTCCTGTAAACGCCGGGTGGCGTCTCGTACTATCCCTGACTGGTTAGTGTAAAAACAACATTCTTCCCCTAAGAAGGTGCAGAGTCCTTTCTTAGCAGTGAGGAGGTCTAGGCCTCGGCGGTTTTTGGAGAGTCACTGCTGCCAAACAGTCTATTTGGGATTGTAAAGTAAGGATAGATTTCATTATTTCTTGCAAACTGTTTGAGAGGCAGATATGGGTTGAAGATCCACATAAGTAGAATATGCCTTGGCTGGGTAGATAGACATTTACCCTGGCTTTTAAAGCAATAGGGTACACTGTTTTTTCACCAGCAGTCAGAACCTCTCACCAGCAGTCAGAACATGAGTTCCTCCAAGTCTCGCCACTGTGGGCTAAAGGGCTCTAGGGTCTTAAATAAACTTTAAAGGCAGTGTAGGCCACACAGACTGCAACCCCTGGGCAAATCCTAGTTCTGAACTGGGCCCAGAGCCAGAGGAGTGCAGGGGCACAAGACCTACTGAGACACCAGCTGGGGCAGCTAAGGGAGTGCTGGCGTCATTCCTCCCTTAAGCCTAGGCTGCAGAGCTCGGGGCTCTAAAAGGGACCCCTTCTTCTACTTGAGGAGAGGAGAGAGAACAGTAGTGAAGACTTTGTCTTGCATCTTGAATACCAGCTTAGGCATAGCAGGATAAGGTACCAAAGACATGAGGCTCCCTTTCTAGACGCTACCTCCTGTACCACATCTCTAAACACACACGGGTCAGAAGGGAACCTGCTGCCTTAAAGGAAAGGATCCAGTTCTGGCAGGCTTCATAACCTGTTAACTGTAGAGCCCTTGGGCCCAGAATAACAAGTAGTGATTCCCAGAGGGCTTGGGTGAAATGAAACTACATAGAGGGCTTGGGTGAAATATTGAGACTTGCTGGCTTCAGGTGAGACAGCACATCCCCACCTGTGGTGGCTATGGGGCGAGACTTCTGCTTGAGAAAAGCAGAGGGAAAAGTAAAGGGGATGTTTTCTTGCATGTTAGGTACCAGTTTAGTCAGAGGGTAGACCAAGTGAGCTGTTGGGGTCCCTGATTCCAAGCCTTGGCTCTTGGATGGAATTTCTGGACCTGCCTTGGGCCAGAAGGATGCCCATTTTCACCATTATTCAGTATAATATTAGAAGTCCTAGCTAGAGCAGTCAGGCATAAGAAAGAAATACAGGTAATGCAAATTGGAATGGAAAAGTTCAAATTATTTTGGTTGGCAACTGGTATAATCTTATATTTGGAAAAACCTAGAGATGCATAAAAATACTATTAGAACTAAAAGTATAGTGAGGCAACATGGAGGAATGGAAAAACAAAATGTACTGAGAGGCAGTTGGTCTAGGTTTACAGTGCAGCTGCTTATGTTTCCCTTAAGCAACTCGATCAGTTTTGCTCCACTTTCTCCATCTCTATGAGGGCTTCATCTTTTAATAAAGGACTGATGACTAAATGTTAAGAGCTCATTCCATGCCAGGGACATGTCTAAACATGTAGAGCTCAGTGGCATGTCTCTCCTACAGCCATTGTCCTCCTGTGTTATAAGAATGTCCTTCATTTTCTCCAGTAAAACATCCTTTTCCAAATTCAACCTCATTGTGTAGGAGGAATTGACATGGCCCTACACCACAGATCACTTCATTCTTGACTTGCTAAGTAAATTAGCACATTGTCCTCCACTGGCTGCAGGGATTGATTCAGGGTGAAAATTTACTTCCAAATCAAGCCAATGAGAATTAAGGCAATGCTTGCTGGGATTTCTGGGAATGAAAGATTCTTCCACTTCATCTAGACATTGTGTGAGAAGATCAGCAATTTATTAGCCCAATCTGAAAATGAAGAATGTGCTCGAAAGTAGTAAGGCTAAAATATGGATACTGGGAATCACATGTGCAGCTTGTATCTTTGTAATTTATATTTATGTAAACCAATATGTGCATGTAAATTTATTCAAATGAAGTATTTTCTGTTTAAACCCAAATCACTTTAAGATGGACTTTCTATCAACTGACAAACATGTGAAGACTTCTGTCTAATATCATATGATTATCTCTTAAAATAGCCCTCTGGCATTATATAGATACTGTCATTCTCATTCTCATTTTATGGATCTTAAAGTTGAGAAAGTGAGAATTTTAATAAATTCTGAAAATCGTACAATTAATAAGAAACAAAACCAATTTATACCTGATTGTAAGCTTAGTGTCTGGATTTTTAAGCATTCTGCAATACTGACTCTGCAGATTTAGACCCAATTCCATTTTACACATTGTGTTGTACGCCAACAACTGTGATGTAGTGCAAGGATGCTATAATAGTTCTTTATATGAACAGAAATGAGACCAAAGAGGAAGCAGTCATTAACCATTTGCTTTATGTTACCCTATAGGTATTGGAATACTGATAGATCTGTCTTTCTCACAGAGTAATTTTAAGGAAACAGTAGCATAAGCAAGATTAAGTTTAAAAGTCCACTAAATGCTATATAGTGAAGCAGAAAATCTTTCACCTCAGTCAGGAGACATGAATTTGAGCTCTTAATTTATTCTAAACATATCTACACGTTTCTGGTCCCTGTTTTTCTTATTCATAGGAAAGGAACTTCAACTAGTTTTTCTCCCAGATCTAACTTTGGAACTCTGTGGCTCTTTGGCACGTTTCTATCAGCTAGAGCTCTGCTCCCTGCACTTGTGAGTGTGTGGTGGTGAGAGGCCTGATGGTGATCACACTTGCAGCCTTTCTTATCCCTGTGCCTTCAAACTGACCTGTGGTTTGATCACTGGTGTGCAAAATGTTGCAGAATTTCACCCCCAAAACAGTTGCATTTCAGAGGGCAACCCTATAATAGCAGGTGAGAAATAGATGAAATGGTGAAATAGCATAGTTATCAAATGCTGTGACCAGAGAAAAAGCAGAACAGCTTAAAAAATCAGCCAATCAACCGTTGCTGCTAATTCCAAGTTTTCCATAAATGATTAAGAGGTAGGTTATTGCTCTGCCTGCCATCACAAATTCCTTAATTATATTATGTTCCTTGGCAGTGCCTGGCACAGGCTTGGGAGTTTTCAAAATTCTCATTTAAATAATTCATAACTATCAACAATTCAAGATGTATCAGTAAGAGGAAACAAACAAAAATCTCACACGAGCAAGTATTCACACGGTAGATGAAAGGCTAAAACATGGAATACCCATGAGAGATCTTCTTATATTATTTAAACTATGAGCTCAATAATCTACTTGGCTTAGGGAGGACATGTCTCTATGATACCTAATTCCATAAACATGTGGAGATTCGCTGTGACAGAGGAGAGTGAAAAAGATACATCTCCGTGTGTGTGTGTGTGTGTGTGTGTGTGTGTATACACATGTGTGTACTCATTCAGTTGTCAGAATGGCAATTTATTAAAATAATCCACCCACTATTGGTGATAATATAGTGAGACAACCTCTTTCTCCATCCTGAATATTACTGGTGAGTGTAGAAATGACTGTTGAATGAGTAAAATATTAAATTAGTGAACTCAGATTCGACAATTTAAACTCTAGAATTTATCCTATACAAAAAGAACTCATGTACAAATATATAATTTTAAGGTTTATCAC
The DNA here is from genome assembly GCF_000001405.40 of Homo sapiens. Taxonomy (NCBI): domain Eukaryota; kingdom Metazoa; phylum Chordata; class Mammalia; order Primates; family Hominidae; genus Homo; species Homo sapiens. Next base: position 137,759,701 of record NC_000008.11, read on the forward strand.
AGCAAGTTTTATAAAAGATAAAATCACAAATAACTAAGTTATTAAAAAGGGGATTATGGAAATGAAACAAAAAACATATTAATACAACAAACTGCTATGTAATAATTAAAACAATGACTGGTAATGATTTACATCCACTGTCATGCAATTCTTACTCATAATATATTGTGTGTGATATGGCTTAAAAACGCTAACCCATGAACTCCTACTCTATATATGTTCACAGAAAATATTAGGTGAAATGAAATACGGTGTAATGAATGGCTACCTCAAGACAATTACTACTTACTTTACTGCCTACTATATTTTACATTTCCCAAATATTATTATCAACACTTCAAAGAACATATGTTAAACCACGATAGGTAATTTAAGTTGCACTTTCCTTTGTATGTTTCTAGTTCTTTCACTGATCCTGGAGGAGGAAGAGGAAAAAATGGTGCTGAAGAAAGTATTTGAATTTATTTTTAAGTTTATTTTCATTAACTCTTATCTTTTCTCTTTCGCCACTTAAAGCAACTCCTCATCCACTTCAGGCCCCAAATAGCCATCTCCCTGTACCAGGAATTTAGGGAAGAAAGAACTTTCAATTCAATCCCAATAATGTCCTCAGGAAGTTCACCGTTTTGTCGTGTAAAATAAGAAAAGTTCATACAATATTAATTGAAAGGTAGAACGTAAAAAATAGGCTTGTTCAAAGGAGAGAGGCATTGTTTCTAGCTGAGGTAAACCAGGGAAGTCTTGAGAGCTGAAGAGTCATTCAGTAGACCAGAAAGATAGAATAGAAATTAGATCTTAAATGATTAAAGGAGAATATTCAAGGCAAAATGATAAATAAAGGCCATTCTGCATGGGCGATGACTGAGTCATAGTGAATAAATAGGAATTGTGGGATGAATATCTGAATAAACATATTGGATCAGATTGAAAAGTTCTAGAGGTCATTTAAAAATATTTAGGGCCTTATTCTACCATCAATATGGGTTTTTTGAAGGCTTTTAATGGAGAAGGGTGTATTATTGTCAAATTCACAATTTATAAGTTTTCATAGTTTGGTGTAGTGATTTTAAATCAAACTTAATCTTTTTATCATTATTAGTTCCTCTATCCATCTACTCATGTCCTGAGCATTTGAGCTCCTTCCATATGCAAGGCAAGATGCTCTGAGGTCAAATAATACCACTAGGATATTTGTGGTGTCACCAGAGATGAAAGTATCACACAGAAGGTCAGACATCAGCCAGCTTCGTGGACAGACATCACAGTCTCCGAATAGCGTGGTGAAAGACATGAGCTTTGGGGTAAACCAGGCCAAAGGATGAGTCCCAGAAGGAGCAGGTCCCTCCATATCCTGAACTTTAGTTTCCTTTTTTATTGAACCAAGGTTCGTATACATGCCATAAACTCACAAGAAGGTTACAATGAGATACTGCAAAACCAGGTGCTTCACACATGTTAAATCTCTCTCCGCCTTCACTTTTCTCACCTTTTAGTTTATATCTAAGTAATGGAGAAAAAAAGCAATGTTGCTTTAGTGCTGCTAATTGGATACACACAATAGATGATTTTTTCTCTATATTTAATATGTTTCCAAACTCTAGAGTCAAGTATACAACTGTCTAACAGAATGTCTATCTCGCTATTTCTTAACATACTCAAACTAAGTATGTCCCAGACTGCCAAAGTGTACCACCAGTCTCTGTCCATAACTGTCCATACCCAGACACGTGAGTAAAAAACTTTAGTCTCATCTTCAAAATTCTTCTTCCTCTCAAATGTGATGCTCATTCCTAGGTCTTTAATTTGCACTTTTATTGTCTCTCTGGATGACAAGATTGTAATTTCAATTATCTCCAACTTCCTGCACAGTATCTGGCATAAAAGGTACATTCAAGTTTGTTCATTTGAATAAACTTTTGGTTTTCAAAGCTCAGTATAGGAAATACTTGTAGACTAATCACAAAGAAAATAAATTATGGTTTGTTGCTTGTCTCCAAAGAGAGAAAGTCAGACTGATGGAGATATATTCAGAGAAAGAGGCTAAAGAAACGATTTATTTCACTCAAGGGTGATGTTTACAACAAGTCATAAAATAGGTAATGTTCCTTTACATCTCCAATGAATGATTTGAAGAGAGCTAACTACATAGACAGTGTGGTTTTTCTCCCAATAGGGATTACATAGAGATTATAATGAATTATTTAATTCCAGTAATTCAACCTTAAAGCAGATCCAGTCACTTTTCCCTTAACAGTGTAATTAATGCTCCAGGAAGTATATTTCCCTGGATGTTACTAAAGATTTTACTGTACTAAAACTGGAGAATAGAAATGAGCAATTTGGAATGCTCTAGAATGTCAAAGGACTTTTTGGGTACATTTTAGATAGATCAGCCCTAAAAATGTCTCTCTCTGTTTCCATAGTGACTACAGAGGACAGAAATAAGGTTTTGTTGAACTGGTCTACATAGCTCGGCTCTAGTACCTATGGTTTTAGTCTTTCTTCAGGATTCTATACATTAAAAGAGGAGGCAGAACATTGGAGGACTATTAAGTTGGGCATTATCATGAGAGTTTATTGATCCTTTCTTCCAACTGTTACCAGATGAGATTCTGTGATATAACACACAGGGTGAAAATTACTGGAAATGCACACAAGGAAGCAGTTGAATTACAGGAGAGCAGGGCAAGAATCCCAAACCCAGACTTGAAACCATGGGGGTGTGAGAAAGGAGCTGAAGATGAGAAGATACTGTACATCAATGAGATTTTGTTCATACTGACCTTTCCCCAGAGCTGAGCTCTCAGTGCCCTTATTTTCCTGTACTCTCTTTTTTGGTGACCTCACTCTTTCTCATGTTTTTAAACACATGCTTATGTTCACAATTCTGATGTTTATATCTCCAGTTGAAACCTTTCACTGAATTTCAAAATCTCATGCCCAGGTTTCTGCCCAATTCCTCTGCTTAGACATATCTCACCAGCATATTAAACTTAATTTCAACACTGATCTCCTAAGAGAGTCTTGTCTTAAAGCGTCATCTTCCCTTAATAACTGCTCTTCCCGTCTTATTTAAAACAAGAAAATAGTACCATGTTTGGTCCATGTCGTCAAGCTATAAAACTGATAATCATCATTAACATCCTTCCTTTTGCAGCCCCATATCCAAACTTTACTTCCCTTTGTTGATTCTACCTCCAAAATGTCCTGAATCTTCCCACTTATCTCTACAACAACTGCCCCTCACTTACTCCAACTTGTCATTAGCTCTAACCTTGATCACTCCAATATCTCACTTTTTTCTATATTATCACTTTCATCCTCTTATAATCAATACTACGCACAGCAACATAAATAATATTGTAAAGAATCAATCCTTTTATACCAAGCCCAAGCTTAAGTTTGTTCAAGGGTTAAATAAACATGTTTTCACTTAAGCTAAATTCCAAAATCCCTATGTGACCCTTATGGCCCATATAGCCTGTCTTTTGCCTACTTTTCCAATTACACATTATTCAGCTCTCCCAGTATAATTCAGCAAAAGCGCCTTTATTTTTCACCAATCTCTTTCTCATTTTAATGGCTCTGGTGTTTTCTTTACCTAATATTCTCCTCTCCAATTATCTGTAAATCTGGCTCCTTTTCATACATTGCATCTCACCTTATACATCATCTACTGCAAGAAGTTGGCCATGACCACCATGAGTAGGCAGGCATTCAGCATTAGGAATTATCTCTCCCATGTGTTTCCTTCATCACGTTTATCACAAGGTACATGATTACTTCATTTTTCTTTATTGTCCCTCATCCCCAGTAAACTGCAAGCTCCATAACGGAAGATGTGTGGATATATATACAGTATACATTTACCGAGGTGAATAACTTGCAGAGACTCTGTCACATAGTAGGCACTGAGCACATATGTGAACAACAACTCATGGACATAATGAATGAATGAATGAATGAATGAATGAATGTCTTGCATTGATCTAGAAAGCTAGCTGCTCTTAAAAATATAAAGCCTTTATTCAATCAAATTTTACTGTATGCTTGTATTTAGGCCAGTGTGGGTGTTCCAGGTCATGAACTGCTGCTAGGATACTTTTCTTCACCAAGGACTAAGTCTCTTCTATCTCACGCCTTCCCCAATTTTAGATTCCCAGAATTGTCTCCATTCAACCTCTGGATGGAAACAGAGAGATCAATGTGAGAGATCACTATAGGGCAGACCTGGAAATGCATCCTGACTGCTCACCTTCCTCTGGACATGCCTGTCACATGACCCACCTCGTGACCCTACCTAACTGCATGTGGGGCTGGGAGATGTAGTCAAGCTCTGTATCTGGAAGGTAAAGAGAAGAGTTGGGTCAAAAATCTGACCATCTTCGACATAAAAATTTTAATTTCAGGGTGTGAAACCCTATGCTGCACCTTGATGTTTTTCTACAATTTCAAATCTATAGTTCATCAATCTCATGTGAACTCATGGTGTAAGCTAAAACTATTAGTCAATTATTTGGACATGTTTTCTACATATTTTCCAACATTGATCTTATTTTAAAATGTGTGTGCATAAGGGAGTGATTAAGTATCCAAAGTTGAGGTGGAAGAATGAATACTTTCTATTTATCCTTTAAGTTATATGCTTCAAGGCACGTAGTAAATGAGGAGAATTCCACAGCTCCCAACTTTGATTTGGGGAAGTCACTGGCTGCCTATTATGTAAGCCCCTAAGTGCAAAGTTCTCCCACATGCAAACATTTCTGATAATAACTTCAGATAATATCCTATGATAAAAAAAACCCTGACATCTGAGGAGGCAGTAGACAAGTGATTCTTTTTTTTTGTTCTTCTGGCAAGGACAACTCTGAGCACTATAATTATAATTGAGACTTCCCCTTAACAAAATCCACAAGCAATGAGAGTAATGAAAAGACACTAGGGAAGGAAAGATAATGAAAGAGCCCACACACAAAGCTCAGAGAATGTCCTTGGCAAAAGAATGTGAGTAGGAGATTAAGAAGTGCTTGAGAACAAAATAAAAAGGTAATACAATTAATTCTATGCTGGGGCAGCTGTTTTTGCTATTAAGAAAATTGAAGAAGATGTACTTAGCCCTTGGAATAGCACTTCAAATGTATGAGAGGAAAGACCCTGAGGGAGCTGAAGGCTCCATGCACTCAATTTTCAATACATGAGTGAGCACATGAATGAAGCAAGAGCCAGGGATGAGGCAGGCATGCTGTGCCAGCTAGTTCTTCAGGGTCCTTTAATGTTTCAGGATGCTCTGGAATATGGTCAACATAGTGGTGAGAACAGGGTGCAGACACTGTAAGTATGGGAGGATCAAAGGATCGATATCCTCAAAAAGGCCCCCTCAGTGAAGTCATATAGCAATGTTCTATTTTCACCTGGAGTGGTGTTAAGCCCAAGACTGAGATAAGGGTGATGGCACTAAAGCAGGACCTAGAATGTGGTTACCAGATGAAATAAAGGACACAATTTAAATGTGAATTTCAGATAAACAATATTTTTTACTGTCTCCAACATTTTATGAATCATCCTAGTACTAAAAATATCTATGTATGCATATATGTGTGTGGGGGTGTGTGTGTGTGTGTATATACACGCATATATATACACTTTACAAATATATATATAAAGTATACATATACTTTATATATATACATATATATACACTTTACAAATATATATATTTTACAAAATAAATACAAAGTATACATATATACTTTGTATTTATATGTATTTATTCTTGCTTACACAAATTTTCAATTTGGGGGGCAGCTGGTATTTATATTTGCTAAATCTGGAAACACTAAACTAGAAGATCTAAAGATTAGACCATGTCTTTGAAAAGACCTTTGAGTTTAAAACCAAAGCTCAGTATTGACATTTTTTCATAGGCTCTTACACCTGAGAAATAAGAGGCATCTCATGACTTACACTCAGGCACACAGTCACCTGAAGCATGTGTAGTTGTTTAGGTCAAGGTCTTTGCTCCATAATGCAGCATCCTCCCTTTTTGGAGCTCTGAACTGTGAGCATAGCTGGCACTGCAGGAGTTAGTAGGTGATATGATTTGGCTCTGTGTCCCCACCCAAATCTCCTCTCAAATTGTAATCCCCATGTATTGGAGGAGGGGCCTGGTGGGAGATGATTGGATCATGGGGGTGGATTTCTACCTTGCTCTTCTTGTGATAGGTGAATTTTCACAAGAGCTGATGGTTTTAAAGTCTGGCACTACCGCACCCCACCCTCCACTTCTCTCTCTCTCTCTGTCTCTCCTCTCTCTCTCTCCTGCTGCCATGTGAAGAAAGTTCTTGCTTCCCCTTTTGCTTTCTGCCATAATTGCAAGTTTCCTGAGCCGCATGGAACCATGAATCAATTAAACCTTTTTTCTTCATAAAATAGCCAGCTTCAGGTGCTTCTTTATAACAGTGTGAAGCCAGACCAATATAGAAAATTGGTACCAGGAGTTGAGACACTGCTATAAAGATATCCTGAAAATGTGGAAGTAACTTTGGAACTAAATGATTGCCAGAGGTTGAAACAGTTTGAAGGGCTCAGAAGAAGACAAGAAGATGTGGGAAAGTTTGGAACTTCCTATAGACTTGTTGAATGGTTTTGACTAAAATGCTGATAGTGATATGGACAATGAAGTCCAGGCTGAGGTGGTTTCAGATAGAGATGAGGAATTTATTGGGAACTGGAGAAAAGGTCACTCTTCCTATGCCTTAGCAAGGAGACTGGTGGCATTTTGCCCCTGCCCTAAAGATCTTTGGAACTTAAAACTTGAGAGAGATGATTTCGGGAAACTGGCAGGATAAATTTATAAGCAGCAAAGCATTCAAGACATGACCTGGATTTTTCTAAAAGCATACAGTCATGTGTATTCACAAAAAGATAGTCTGAAATTGGAATTTATGTTTAAAAGGCAAGCAAAGTGTAAAAGTTTGGAAAATGTACATCCTGACCATGTGGTAGAAAAGAAAAACCCATTTCCTCGGGAAAAATTCAAGCTGTCTGCTGCAGAAATTTGCATAAGTAAAGAGAAACTGAATGTTAATAGCCAAGACAATGGGGAAAATGTCTCCAGAGCATTTCAGAGATCTACATGGCAGCCCATCCCATCATAGGCCCAGAGGACTAGGAGGGAAAAATGGTTTCATGGACTGGGCCCAGGGCCCTGCTGCTCTCTGTAGCTTTGGGACATGGCACCCTGCGTCCCAGAGGCTCCAGCTGCAGCCATGGCTGAAAGGGCCAAGGTACAGCTTGGGCTACTGCTTTAGTGGAAGCTTCCACTGCCAAGGCTTGGGGCTTGCACCCTCTGAAGCAGTGCTCCTTTCAACACCCCTTGGTGTCAAGCTTGTAGGTGTGCAGAAGACAAGAGTTGAGCTTTGAGAGCATCCATCTAGATTTTAGAGGATGTATGGAAATGCCTGGATGTCCAGGCAGTAGTCTGCTACAGGGATCGAGCCCTTGTGGGTAACCTCTACTGTGGCAGTGCAGAAGGGAAATATGGGGTTGGATCCCCTACCACAGAGTCCCCACTGGGGCACTGCCTAGTGGAGCTGCAAGAAGAGAGCCACCATCCTCCAGACCCCAGTAAGGTAAATCCACTGACAGCTTGCACCATGCACCTGGAAAGGCTACAGACACTTAATGACAGCCCATGAAAGCAGCCAAAGGGGGCTGTACCCTGCAGAGCCATGGCAGTGGAGCTGCCCAAGGCCTTGGGAGCCCACCCTTTGCATCAGCTTGCCTTGGATGTGAGACATTGAGTCAAATAAGATTATTTCAGAGCTTTAAGATTTAATGACTCTCCCACTGGGTTTCAGACTTGCATGGGGTCTGTAGCCCCTTTGTTTTTGCCAATTTCTCCCATTTGGAACAGGAACATTTATGAACATTTACCCAATGCTGGCACTTCCATTGTATCTTGGGAGTAACTAACTCATTTTTTATTTTACAGGCTCATAGGCAGAAGAGACTTATCTTGGCTCAGATGAGATTTTGGACTTGGACTTTTGACTTAATACTGGAATGAGTTAAGACTTTGAGGGACTTTTGGGAAGGGATGATTGGTTTTGAAATGTGAAAAGTGCATGAGACCTGGGAGAGGCCAAGGGCAGAATGGTATGCTTTGGCTCTGCATCCCTACCCAAATCTCATCTTGAATTGAAATCCCCACAAGTCAGAAGAGGGGCCAGGTGAGAGATGTCTGGATCATGGGGGCAGATTTCTCACTAGCTGTTCTTGTGATAGTGACTGAGTTCTCACAAGATCTGATGGTTTTAAGGTGACACTTCTGCCCTCACTCTGTCTCTCTCTCCTGCTGAAGAAGGTCCTTGCTTCCCCTTCACCTTCTGTCAGGATTATAAGTATCCTGCCACCTCCACGGCCATGCAGAACTCTGAGTCAATTAAATCTTTTTTTTTTTTCCTCATAAATTACCCAGTCTCAAGTAGTTTTCTTAATAGCAGTGTAAAAACAGACTAATACACTGGGCATGGTTGCAGCCCTTTCCAACCAGTAAAAAAACCATAAAATCTCCTGAGAGGAGTAACCAAGGAGTAAAAATGCATAGAATCCTAAAAGAAGGAACCAATTTTATTTGGTATTGTACTGTTTGTTGTTTCTTAGAGGAAATAAAAGTTACCCCTTGAAATTGAAAGTATCTCTCTTATAAAACTATCTTGGTAGCTCTATAGTGTTCGTGACCCAGTGGAGCTCCAAGCACATCTGTGGAAGGTAATTCTTCACAGACACTGTGGGATTTCATTGCTGCTTTTGGGTTGTGCCTCAGCTCCTTCGGTAAATATAGCCCATTACATACTTTCTCCAAGAGCTGAATTATAGTAATTCAATTTTTAAACTCACAAAACATTTTGTCACAGAAATTAACCCAAAGGCTTTAAATTATATCATTTCTTGATAGATCACTTATATTTCTATTTTCTTGATTTCTTACTGGATTTTAAAAATAGTCCCCTTTGGTCTTTCACATGATCTTATTTAAGCCCCTTTCCCCTAGTGTGACTTTCTTTACAATAAAGTTATTGGGAAAAACTCATTAATTCATTGACAGAAGGTATTGAACTCCTGGGTGTTTGAACAGATATACAACAGTTGAGTTGAAGAGAAAAAATTGGAGGGAGAATAAGTGGTTCTTTGTTTGCAGAGATACAGTAGGACAACTGCATAGCTCATCTCTGTTGGTCATGAAACTAATCACGAAGAGGATAATGAGAACTAGAGTCTAAAGGGAGAGATTTGGAGACAGATGAAAGAGTAGGGCTTCTCATCCAATTAGCTGTGGTCAGACTAAAAGTGGTACAGAGACAAACTAACATTACAAACACCTTGACTTCATTTAGATATGGTTCCAACAATGTATCAATATACTGTACAAAAAGCAAAATCTATTCACATTTCTACATATTGATTTACATATTGTGGCAGCTGCTGTTAATGGCCAAGAAAAATCCCTTCAGCAAATATCACCCTATAACTTCTGATTGTGTCCTAGTATAACCACTTACAACTTTCTACTTGCATGCTTTCTTTTACCCTGGACCAGGCAGTCAGGCCATGCTAGGGAGTAAAACTCCTGAGACAGTCTTCAGCTGGTACTAACAAGTTAAGATAATTTTGAAGTATCTTTTATAAGGTCTCCCACAGGTTCCAACAGGACCAAGTGTCTGTTCCCTACAGCAAAAGTCTGCTCAAGAAAATAGTGCCTGCATGGGCTTTCTCCTCTACTTAGTATCACTGTTAGTTTGATGGAGGTTTCTTTGTAGGTGAGAAGACATTTTTATCTTGCTGGTTTTAGAATTCTCTGTTTATCTTTGAGTTTAGACACTTTGAATATAATGCACCATATAGAAAACCGTTTTGTATTAATCTCGTTGCTGGTGTCGGAGTATCCTTTATTTTAATATTTAAATTTCTTGCTAGACTTGGGAAGTTTTCATTTATTGTTTGATTATTATTTTTTTACTCTTTCATTATTTCTTTGGCCTCTGAGACCCCAATCAATTAAATAATTATTCACTCTATAGTGTCCCATATGTCATATATGCTTTGTTCATTTTTTAAAAATACTTTTTCTCTATATTATTATCTGGCTGGTTTATTTAAACAGACCTGTCTTGAAGTTCTGAGATTCTTTCTTCTGTTTAGTCTAGTGTATTGTTGAATCTTTGGGATGCATTTTGTATTTTATTCAATGAATTCTTTAGTTCTATAAATTCAGTTTGGTTCTTTTCTTATGATAGCTATCACTTTGGTGATTTTCTCATTCACATTTGGAATTATTTTTTCTGATTTATTTGTTGTATTTTTCGGAATTCTGTTGTATTTCTCTGAGCTTATTCAGAATCAAAAATTTGAATCATTTTTCTAGAATTTTGTAATTATTTTTATTAAGATCTGTTGCTGGAGAATTATTGTGTTCCTTTGGAGGTGTCATATTTCCTGGCTTTTCCATGTTTCCTGTTTCCTTAGCTGATATCTGCACGTCTGGTATAACAGTTACTTCTTCAAGTTTTTAGAATTTATTTTTGTAGGAGAGGACTTTTTCCTGAGGATGTATCTATTACGTTTTTTGGGCAGGGCAATTTGGCTTTGATTCTGAGTGTGTGCAAGAGTGTAGTCTCTGTGTGATTTATTTACCTATAGACATTTGTGTTATTTGCAATTTCCTTAGTGGCTTAGGATACAGTTATAAGTGGAAGTTGTGGTAAAGTTGAGTAGAGATTAACATACCAGGTAGACCAGACTTTGATCTCTAATGGTGGCAGTAGTGAGCTGAGCATGCCTATCTTTAGGGTGGTGTATGCTGGCACCTGTGTTAATAGGTACAGTCAGGATGATTCTTGACCCTCCAGGTGACTTACTTAGATGTTGGTAGTAGCATAGTAGCATCAGTGAGCTCGGTGGGTAGATGGGCTCTCAGGCTCTGAGAAGCTGGCAATCGCAGTGGCAAGATAACCTTCTGGTTCTTAAGTGGTATGCACTGGTGTTGGCAATGGCTGTGATGGACTGCATGGACCAGTCTCTAGTTCCACATGTGGCATAAGCAGGTAGGTGCCAGCTAAGATGGCAGTGGCTGTGTGGTTAGGCCCAACGTCAGGCCCCTTGGTAAAAGTTTAGAAGCCAACACTGGTTGACAGGACTGTGTGATCCCTTGGTTCCTGGACTGTGTGCTTTGGTCTGGGGGTTAGGGGTAAAGGCAGCCCAGAAGGCCTTGTCCTCAGGCCTCCTGATGATGTGTGCAACTGCCAGCAAGGACAAGGTAATCCCCAGGCTACCTGTGGAATTCATGGCCATGCTGCTGTTCTGCCACCGTAAAGAGCAGAGGTACTGGCCGGTAGAGGATGCACACACCACTCACGCCTCAGCTTTGGTGAGTGGCACACTTTAGGCCTGATGTAGTAGCTGGTGCCTTGGAAGTGTCTTAGCTCTGAAAGTTGTAGCACATGATCATTCATATCTCAGCCCTGAAGGTAATAGTCCATGCTTCTCTTGTGCCTCAACCTCAGAGTCAGTGGGCTCTAGGAGATTACACATCTGTTGGGGTGGGGCTTTAAAATGGTGCCTTGCTGCAGCTGCTTATGTCTCAGGGAGTGTGGGGGACCTGCAAATCCTGTCTCTTGGAGCAGTCCCCTCACGCAATTGTTTGGAAGTTCCCTATGTTAGGGAGCTATCCAATACTCGGGAAATACTCACACTTAATTTAATTAATTTTAGGGCCAATGAGGGTCAAAGAACTCTCCTGTTGCTAGAATTGCAGCTGTCCATGGGGAGAATGTGGACCACTGGGGTCTCTCACTCACTTTTTCCTTGTATTAGGGAGTCTCTCAAGGCTTCCAGCCAATCGCAGGTGAGCAGGCAGCCTCTCTTCCTTCTCCTTATTTGCTTTGGGTATTGCCTTCGACTTTATGTTAAATTTCAGGGTTCTCTCTTAGATGATCTATCTGAAGTGGAATTATCTACCCTCTATTTTGGTTCCTTTTAGTGGACAAGGTTTTCATCACCCAAATAGTCTTACTCACAACCTCCTTAGACGTGTTAATTAATTATAGCATAATCTACCTCTTTTCCTATTGTGGAAACTGTAATGTCATCTGCCTTGTTTGGTTAAGGCTGTCACGTGAGGAAATCATCATTCCCTATCAGCTGCTTTTTTTCAATTCAATCCCCAGACAGTAGGTAAATTTAATATACCCTACTGTATTACATGTTAGGGTTTTGGCTTCAGCTTCAGTAAGCACTTCTACACTGCTGAGATGGATGGAGTCACACTTTAGCCCCCTAGTGAATAACAACTATGAAATCCTATCTTCCAAGCCTCCTTGTCTACATTCTACTTACTTTCTTTGTGGTGTTTTAAGGAATAAGGCAAAAATTGCCTCTTTCCAAGCCAGAGAGGGTCTCAGGTCCATCTGACTGCAGTTGTCCTACAGAAAAAAAAAATAATAATAATTCAAGTTTGTTCAGAAGTAAGTGATTACCATTACAGACAGCCAATGGTAAAGCAATATTTATAAACACACACACACACACACACACACACATACATACACACATACATACACATATATACACATACATACACATATATACATACATACACATATATATACATATATATGTGTATGTATGTGTGTGTGTGTTTTACATCTGAAATATATTTCTGAGTATGAACCAACTAGGCATGTCAGCTACTTCACTATAATCTTTAGGACTAACGAAATTTCTTCTCCTTAGCCTTGGAAGGAAGTGAGAATGGGGAGGGTAAAGCAGTTCCTTGTCTTTCCTAGAGATTGATGTGGTAATGAGTTCTTTTTGTTTTAATCTCATCATTACAGCCAAAGTCACCAAAACATGAATGTCAAAACATTGTCTTTAAAGACAGTGAGTAAGGTTTGTTCATCACCCTATCACATAGGCAGCTATTAGAGAAAAGAAGAATGAGTAAATAATTGCTTAAATAACTGTGCTCAGTTCTAATTGCCATTGGACATCTGGACCATCTCCAGAGGAAATCAGGCAGCTACTGAATGGTCTAGAAACAGAGCCAGATGATAGACCTAAGGATATTTAGCTTGGGAAAGACAAGGCACAGGGGAGACACAAGAGCTATCATCAGATACTTTAAAGACTGTTGTGTATAAAAAGAATTAGCCTTATCTTGAGAACAAGAGTCAATATGAGACAGCTAATATGAGAGAAGGCAGATTATAACATTATTTATAACTTCAGCAAATAATTATTTTTAACTGTCACATAGGCATGCATGCATGAAGTTGTCAATATTAATAAGATGAGATATTTGCCATTGTAGACCCTTTAACATAAAGTTGAAGATAGACAAATAAGTCAAAAAAATTAATAATTAAAAAGTATAGAATCTTTGAAGTTTATTCCAGACTATTATTAAGTTGGTAAAAATGCAAACACATATATCTTTCACTTATTCCAAGCACACATTCTTGAGTATCTTGATATATTGAGTCCCTTTTATTGAGTAATGCCCAGTACTATTCCTATGATGATATAAAGATATAACTTTACAGTCCTTCCCTTTAAAGATGAACACAGCCAGGAAGGTAAGACATATGTGCCTTAAATGGGAAGTCTCATATGCAAGTGATATATTTATCAGAAATATATTTAGGATTACATATAAAATGTTTGTGGTCCTAAGTGTCCAAAAAAACGAGAGACTCACTATGGTCAAAAAATTCAGAGACGCTTCACGGAGGAGCTGGGAGTCAGGCTTGACTTCAGGGTAGAGTGAGGTTTATTAGATGGAGAGAAAAGAGAAGCTGCTGTAACTAGCAGAATCCCAACAGGACCATAATGCCATGAAACAATCTGTGGTTCGTGGCAATAATCAGACACAATGAATGCTGCCCCTGGAAGAACTGGCATGCCAGGCCATTAAACCCTATTGACTACTTAGCACAATTTCTGTGCCCGCTTTGTGAGGCCTCAAGCAACAGAGAATGGTGGTTAAGATTGTTATGAGTACAGAAGGGAGAGTAGGCACACAAGCCACCATCCACGGTAAAAAAAAATGTGTGTGTGAGTGTGTGTGTGTGCAGCTGTATACAATTTTGTAAATGCATATACACATATGTGTACATATGCATCATATAATAAAAATACAAATATATATGATAATGATAGATATATGATTTAGATATATTTATGTATGGAATAATATACTGATATAACACTCTCTTATTATAGTTCTAGCTATAGGTTATAAGAAGTTGTTCATCTAGATGTAATCAAGAGAACTGAAATTGCTAAAGAAAAGAATTTTGGAGAGGAATATTGACTATCACCTATAGCATTTTATACTGGGAAGGTGTTCTGTCACAACACATGCCAGATTATGTCTGCTTCTTGAGTAAATGGTAATTTTGTTATCTTTTTGCTTATTTCTATTTTCTATCATTCTACAATAAACATTGTTATTAATGAAATAAATAAGAAAATATGTATTTATAAGAAATACATTGCATAATGTTGTATAGTGTGTAAAAAATTTCAATACATTCTCATTTATTTAACTTGTACGACATTCACAGCATTTGTCCAAGGGGAAATTTGGTATTGGTTATCTCGCTGACCTGCCATGCACAGACCTAGTAGGCATCAGACTAAAAAGGCAACTACCCACAGCCTGTAAAAGAACTGGCCCACCTCTATTGTGCCATTTTCAATGAATAGAGAATCAGCTCTGCCAGCCAGACTGTCAGAGTGGAGTGGGGTGGATTTTCCTCTCTGGGTGACTCCACGGCTGCCCTTGCTGTGACGATCTGATAACCTTCTTTCTCTTCAAGTGCAGAGAGTAGCAGAAACATGTAGGATCAGATAGGAGAAAATGGATTTTGACAAGGCATTTTCAGGTTTTCAAAAGGCAGGTCTTCATTCTGGCCTGATGTTTCATCTGGATTTGTAATCTCCCCATTATGAGAAAATCAAAAGAGGTCATTTGGAGAGGTTTTATCTTCTTCTTCTGTAAAGTCCTTACGAAACATTTATGAGTTTTCTGATGATATCAAACCAAGCTTTCTTTGCCATTCTTCCTTCCAAAGCTATGCCCTTCAGAGGTTCCTGGTTTATTCCAGTTGATAGTGAATATGACCTACACTGTCTTTTGAGATTAACTCATTAATGATGAAGGTTTCCCCTTCTGCAAATCTCTCAATCTCTACTATTCCTAACTTTCTGAAATAACTAGTGCTGAATTTATCAAGTGCAGCTGCTTAATTTTAGAGGTTAATTCTCTACAGCAATTGTTTACTTTGCAATTAACCCTAAATATGAGATAGCGTGCAAACACTGAAATAAAAACTGGGGTTTTTATGAGATTAAAATTAGATTTTCTCTCTCTTACTAGTTGCACGTTCTTGAACATGATTCAACATTTCTTAGTCTCAGTTTCTTCATCTGCATACTCTAGGTAGAATTAAAGCTCACAGACTTCTGCTGTAGGAAAGAACATTTTTGCAAGTATTTTGTTAATATGTATGAGCTACTTAAATATGAAAAAAATATCAATATTAGTAACTTAATTTTTCAAATATTTATTATCTACCACATGCCCGAGCCCTTGCATCTGTAGTGTGATCATTCCATAGATGAATATGGTTACAAATACTTAAGATCTCTGAAAGAAAACACAAGAACAAACTATTAAATTCAAATAAGTCAGAAGTATAAACACCAGTAGAAAACTGTTGATAAATCAATATAATAAGAAAGAAAAATAATTTAAAAATTAATTGAACATCTACTATGCACAAAAATTTAAAATATTGTTTCAATTCTTTCTTATAATCATTCAGTTTGGCAGATAGCATTATTTTACTGTTACTAATGGAAAAAGGAAGTGATGTTAGGGAATATTAACCTGTCCAAGGTGTAGGAATAGAATTTTAGTAAGTTATATCCAACTCCAAACATATTTTTTCTATTTTTTCCTACCACACTATAGTCTTTATGTTGTTCATCTGTTTTGTGTAATATGACACCATAAAAAAATCTTTCTCTTTCTCTCTCAAACACACACACATAATACATATATTTTATATATTATAAATATATATACACACAATATCATATAACATTATATTCATAAAGGCTCTGTGTGTGTATACACACATACTTATATTAAGACACAATATAATTAATATAAATAAAATATACATAAAAGACATAAGTAAAGATTCACAAAATAAAACTGAAAACAAATTGTGCTCAATTAAATTTAAATTCAACTCCATAATAAATTAAATTTTTTTTTGAGACAGAGTCTAGCTCTGTCTCCCAGACTGATAAATTAAATAAATTCTTAACATACTACAATAGCTTCCTTCAAAATTAACTAACTTTTAATTTCAAAACACCGTGTATTTTGCTTAACAGTTTTCTGTTTTGTCTGTGTGTGTGTGTTAACTATTCACATTCATATTAAAATTTGAGATTCCCATGAGAAACAAAAAGCAGAAAGTTATATGCTTGCTGTTTTCATAAGAAGAGAAATGTATAAAATTGAAGCTAAGTTTTGAACAGTGTATTAAGTTTACCGTAAACAATCATGAAGACTTAATGTAAGAAGAACTATAAGAAAACAGTAATTTAATAGTGCTAAGTTTTGAAGTACTAATTAAATCTTAGCTAAACCCTGTTGTAAAGAAGCTTCTGTAGTAAATGTCTTTTCACAAACTTTTCATTACCCAGTCTCCAGATTCCAGAAGTCTATATCTTCTTCTTTCAAACCCGGACGGACTCTCATGACTGACTTGGCCAAAGCAGTATGAAAGATATCCAACTCTAGGTCAAAATATTCTGTGCGCTTCTCCCTAGGTATTTTTCTTTAGGCGGGGGCGGGGGGGTGCCAGAGAAGATGGGAGAGTGACTGACTCCTAAAACACTAGCCACCATGTTGTGAGAAATCTCCAGACGTCTTTAGAGGAGCTGACATGGAAAAGAAACAATACACAAGCCACATTCTCAGCTGGGCTTCTGGGCAATAACCAGCACCAACTTGCTCAGCCTTGCAAGGTCACCATCTTGAAAGTGGATCCTTTACCCTCCAGTTAAGTGCCCAGGCTGATGCTGTGTGGAGGAGCGACAAGTTTTCCCCATCACACCCCACCTACATTGCAGATGGATTTATAGGCAAACTAAGTAGTCATTCGTGCTTTAAGCCACTAAATTTTGAGATGGATTGTTACATAATAGTAGGTGACTTATTCACTTTCTAAGAGAAATGCTCTACAGAGACTCAAAGTCCGTAGACCAAAGTCTACAGCGACTATAGCATGATCAATTTTCATTTATTTACTAATTTTTGTATTAATGGTGCTTTCTAAACCAAGGTTTTCAAAACAGGGATTAAGTGTGTTCTTGTTTTATCCCCTGGTTACAGCACTGTACATTGGAATTTTTTTTCAGTACGTATGTTCAAAGACTGACATATGCTCACCCTTGCCAAATTATGTACTGGGAAACATGAGTTCAGAAAAAAAGATGATGAGTTCTTCAGGAACAAAGGTTCAATTCTCTACGAGATTTAGGAAAGATATGGAGAATCAAAACACTTATTTTATATAGGTAACCTATGAGAAGTCTTATAGGATAGGACTTTTAAATTTTGTTTAATACTTAAGCAAATATTTTGATCAACAAATTTTACTTTTATTACTCACTCTTACAAATGATATTATTACATAATTGCTTTACAACAAACTACACATATTTGAGTTTTACAATTTGGTAAGTTTTATCATATTCATGCACCTGTGTGACTACAATCACCATCAGTATAATGAACATATCTATCACCCCCAAAGCTTTCTCCTGTATAATCCTGTATAATCAATCCCTTTTGTAATTAAAATTCCTCTCTCCCACCTGTTACCAGCCCCTATCTAGGCAACCACTGCTCTGCTTCTTTCACTATTGTAAAAATGAAACCAACTGATGAAGTGAGTGTCTGGGCATGATGCACTGAGAAGGACATATACATTCTCTCTGTTGTATTATTGACAAAAATATTTAACTGAATATAATTATGAGAAAAAATTAGATAAAATTTAGAAGATGGGTAGTTCTACAAAATAGACATCCTGGACTTTCCAAAAATAGTAGTATATTGAAAGACCAAAAAAGATGAGAACACTATTTTAAAACTATTTTAAAGAAGATTAAAGTTATATGGTAACCAGCTACCAAACAGGATAGTTGTTTGAATTTTGAAATAAAAAATATAAATAACAAATTTGAACAGTTAGTAACATTTGAATATGAGTTATCTTCTAGGCAGTATTATTGCTTCAGTGTAAAATTTCTTAGTATATGAGTGATTATGTGGAGAATATCCTTGCATCCAAGAGATGAGCTCTGAAATATTCAGGAATGAATGTCATGACATCAGAAAGTTTTTTTTCAAATCAAGAGGCAAATACAGTAAAATGTTAAAATTGACCGATACAGATAAATTTTGGGGGGATATTTGTTGTATTATTAAATTGTCTATACATGGAGATATTTTAAAACAAAAAGTAATTAAAAAGCTGTTATTTATCAGTAGTCTTAGTTGAAAGCAACTGAGACCTAATCTAGCTAATTAAAACAGAAAATAATGTATTAGAAGTTATTGGGTAGTTCACAGAAGCTCTGAGAAGGCCAGATAGTTAGGTG
Organism: Homo sapiens; assembly: GCF_000001405.40. NCBI lineage: Eukaryota > Metazoa > Chordata > Mammalia > Primates > Hominidae > Homo > Homo sapiens. The sequence continues at coordinate 137,778,448 of NC_000008.11, forward strand.
TGGAACTTCACCACCAGAAACAATGCCAATGAGCTCATTTCATGAAGATAGCGTCACTGATTATCCTGGGAATAGACAGTGCTGCTGACACCACATCTGAGCAAGGACAGAGCTGCTCAATCCACCACCCCTGTGCCCACGGGAAGAAGCTGCTCTTTTTTTTGCCAGAAAGGATTATGCAGAGTTTCCAGGTTCTGAGACAATGTCCAACTTACATCCAAATGATTAGCTAAGCTTTATCATAGGTTCCCAGGAGCCCAAGAAAGCAGAAATATGACTTCTTGCACAGTTAGAGGTGGTTTTTGCCTTGTGCTAAAACTCACAAAGTAAGGCGGTCAATTAAGCAAGAAAGGGAGTTGGCATGCTGGAGGGATGTCAAATGACAAAGGCCCAAATGACAATAACCTTCACCAGTAACTTCAGCGTGACCCTCAGGTAACAGGAATCTGACTTATGGTATGATTTTTGGAAAGTAAACAATTAAACTGCTCTTTGAGGTTTCTACATGGTATAGGACAGCTAATCAGGACAAGAAGCAAAATAGGAATTGGGACCTGGGAGCTTTTCAATGAATAGCGATTGATCTGCTTATTGGCCTGGAGACTGCCTCAGCCATGGATGATGAAAATAGACCTCAAATACCAAATAAAACTACAATACGCTATTGTACTAGGATTAGTGTTGGGATTGAGAACACTCTCCTGATTCTGGTTGTATCTTCTCTTGATAGATGAGATGGACATTTTAGGACCAGGCTAATCTTCCAGGGTCTTTTATAGCTTCTTTGTGTTTACCATAGAATAAACTCCCTTACCTCCTCTCACTCAACAAGGAGCCATCAGCACCTCCTGGAGTATCTGTCAGTCTCATGAGGTCAGAGGCCATGTCTGTTTAAGGGTTCACCTTCACACAAAGCCTCATTGGCCTGGCAGCTACCATGGCTGAAGGAAGCGATTGCTCACCTGAAAGGGGTCAACATGGTGAAGCTTTTCCCACCCACTGCAGTGAGACTGGGCTTTTCCCTACAGGCTTTCCCCTTTCATGGTTTTGCAAATATCTCCTCTAATCCTGGTCTTTTAGGTATGTTTTCTATTATAATTGTAAGCTTTTTAATAAAGCAGGGTATTATGTCTTTTTCCTTTGCATCTCATGTTCCTCTACCATAGGAGGCACACAATAAACGTTTGTTGACAAAACACCACCAAGAAAAACAAAACCACACTGAAACAAAATGTTATCTTTAACATGATTTTTCCATTCTTATTTAGAGTATAAAATGAATACAAAATTTCCAGAGATTTCACCCAAAATTCTAGAGGTTGCATAATTCTAATAGATTGCTACTCTCATAAAGTCAGTTCAGCAAACTTTCTTGTTCAGCCCATTATGAACAAAGCTGTTGTTGTAAGTTGTATGTGCTTTATTTTATGTGTGAAAAACAATAAAGACTTATCTTTCAAGATTATAAACTTATTTGGAAAAATATACTTGTCAAATACCATATTTATACTCAGCTTTTAATTAATGTCAGAAACTGTTTTAATACATAGTACCACGCATTCATGTGACCCTCATAACAACCATATGAGTTGATACTTTTATATTAATACCTCAATTTACTGATGAGAAAAATGAAACACACAGACATACACAGCTAGTAATCTAAGAATTCTAGCATTAGAAGCCAGGCAGTCTGACATCAAACTGGAACAGGAAAAGAATATTAGAGAAAACTAAAGAAATCTGAGCAAAATATACATTTTAGTTGATAATAATGCATTGACATTGGTTCATTAGTTGTGCTAAATGTACCATGTGAGATGTTAGCAATTGGGGAAACTGGGTGTGGGGTATGTGAGAATTCTCCACGCTATCTTTACAACTTTTCTGCAAATCTAAACTCTGCTTAAGTAAAAAGTTTGCTCAAATAAAAAAAAAGGAGAAAGCAATGAAAATAATAAACTTTCCAATAAAATTTATACAGGAAACATTATTTGAACCTGCATTATATAAATGCATTGAAAAATCCTTAAAGTATACGTAGCTAAGAGTTTACCAGTGTTTAAGGAGGGGCTCCATATATTTCTATATAATCTAACCATTTTATAATAAGAATTTTTTTTGTATTTCACATTTACTTTGGGCAATGCTTATAAGATGATAAAGGAGTTTCGAAATGCGTCATATTTAAAATTTATAGAGAGGAGTAAGAGAAAAACATTCTGGACAGCAACAACATTATAAGCAACAGGTCAAATTTACAATGTGACTTACTCAATATCTGGAAAACATGTAGCTATGAATTCTCTTTTTTATGCCTATAATTTGGTCATGTTCTACTAATGAATTTCCACTCCCATCAACTTTTACCATAAATTCAAGCTGCCTCATATGAGGTCTATGTAATCGAAAATGCACCTGCTGTACTGAAATCCTGGGCAGGGTGGGGGACACGGCCATGGATATAATCAAGAAGCATCAGTCACCTTGGCCAATGGCAAGCAGCCTTGGATATGGAGTAAGTGTAAAAGCCCCTTCTGACAGATGTGTTTTTCAGATTCTTCATTTATATCTGGGAAGTCGCTGTAAAATTGGCATTTGAGCAATAACAAGACTTTGCAATTCTCTCTTTGGGATTGGAGATTCATGAATTATGCATGTCTATGCAGATTTTTCACCTGTGACAGCTGTAGTATGGGCAATTTCTCTAATATATTAAGAAAACCAGCCATGATACCAGTAACGGATGTAAATGAAATATTCCCATCAGTTAAGTCAGTTTATTTAACTATTTCACAACAGCATGTGTGGTGAGAGAATGCCGAGCATGGAAATCCGTTATTGATGAGAATCTTACAAATAGCAGCCCCTGATCATGAGATTCTCAGTTAAAAGATGGACAGGTTGTTGCTTGCTTACTGCTTCATTTATGTATTGTTTTCTGCTGAACCATACCACCTGAGCTGTGGCACATCCCATGTGAGAAACCAGCTGGTTAGCTCTGCAGAGCATTTCTCTGAGAGATCAGACAGATGTCAAAAAGGGATAAAAAAATTATCTGTAACCAGCACCCCCTCTGAATGCATTGGCAGGCAAGGGGTTATAACTTGATGTGTTTTGGATTTCAGGCATTTGGGTCTCCTAATTCCTCGTATTGAGGCTCCTCATTCTCTGTCATCACTTTTATCTGGCAAAGTCCTAAGTAAATTACATTTAGGGAAATTAGATATTGCTTTTGGTACCCTAGTGAACTATGCATGCTAAAGATTAAGAAAAAATTTTCACAGTAAGAGAACTCTGGACTGGGAAAATAGGAATCTCATTTCTTGCCATGACTGTGGAATTGACCAGCCACATGCCTCCCGAGGGAAGTCACTTGACTTTGCTGTGTCCCACTTGCCTTATCTAAATGTAAAGCAATAGGACTTAGTTATATTCCAATAATGAAATGCGCCAAGCCTTTCCTCTGACTATTTACCAAAGAAATGTTGACTTCCAAGACTGAAACAATTTGAAATGCACTCTGCTTAAATGTTTGCTGCTCTTCATTTCAAATAGCTATACTCTGCAGTCCACAGGGATGATAACAATGCCTCATCTTTATAGTCTGTTTCTCTTCCCTCAGGTTGTCCCCTTATTATTCCATGTGCTGTATCAGATCACACCACCAACAGACCTGAAGACATAGCCAGTGTCCTCATCATTTTTCACACAAAAAAAGAAATCCAAATACAGAAGGAACCACATCATGTGCTGCATTGCGGCTTCTTCTCCCTGCTCTCTCCTTCTCTCTACTTGGTATACGTCAGTGTGATTGCCCTTAGTGTCTTTTTGTCCTAAACCAAGAGGGCACCATCTGACTCTCCCATTGTGCAGTGGGCGTATCCTTAATGTCTGCTTGTCCTAACCCAAGCGTGCACCATTTGACCTTCCTGCTGTGCAGTGTGCATGTCCTTCATGCCTGATTGTCCTAACCCAAGAGGGCACCATCTGACCCTCCCACTGTGGACTGTGCTTATCCTTCATGTCTGCTTGTCCTAACCCAAGAGTGAACCATCTGACCCTCCCACTGTGCAGTGTGGTCTGTCTGTCCCACCCCTCTACCACATCTCTCATGGGTAGAGAAGCATCTTGCCTTTCTATCCCTTCTGTAATGGTTAGGCAAAGCAGCAACGGCAACAACAACAGTGACAAACAACAACGAAGGTCCTCTGTCTTGGTTCAGTAGGGATGACTGTGTAGAAATGGCCAGTTATTTATCTTGCTTATGCATATATTAAAAAACAAAGTGAATCCATGTGAGTTTTTTAAAAAAAAATTAGGCTGGGCGCAGTGGCTCATGCCTGTAATCCCAGCCCTTTGGGAGGCCAAGGTGGGTGGATCACCTGAGGTCAGGAGTTTGAGACCAGCCTGACCAATATGGTGAAACCTTGTCTCTACTAAAATTACAAAAATTAGCTGAGCATGGTGGCGTGCACCTGTAGTCCCAGCTACTTGGGAGGCTGAGGCAGGAGAATTACTTGAACCTGGGAGGCGGAGGTTGCACCGAGCCGAGATCGCACCACTGTACTCCAGCCTGGGTAACAGAGCGAGACTCTTCAAAATAAATAAATAAATAAATAAATAAATAAATAAATAAATAAATAAATAAAATGTGAAAAGTATCAGGATGTGCTTTTTAGTATGCAGGGTGAGAAATAAAATCTTACTTTTCTTTAAATAAACATGAAGGCAAAATGCAGAACATGATGATATTTGCCATGAATCTTTGAGGAGAAACCAGGGTAAGGTTAATGAGAATCTCCAACTAATTTATGCACTTCTTAAGAGCAGGAATCATGTTTTTATTTTAATTATCTCTCCACTGCCATAGGCAGTTCCTGAAACAAAGTTGAAAGTGCACATAGACAAAAACATGTTTGTTTAATGAGTGACACAGATTATCGGACCCCCCCATAAGACCCTGTGAGGGAGAAAGGGCAGATGCCCCTCTTTCATAGTTGAGAAAACGAAAGTACAGAGGGTAGAGTGACTTGCCCACTGTCATGCACTGACATTTGGCAGAGACGTGTTGCTTTGTTACCATCTAAGACCCCAGTTGGCGTCTCTCATGTATGGTGGATTGAGTTGACTATCTTACATTGCCTAGATAGAACTCCCTTTATAGATAATGAGCCTTTCTTTCAGTCTTGGAAAAACCACAACTGAGGGCCACCTGCTATGAGTGTCATAGACAAACTTCAGAAGCCACTTGTTGTGGTTATAAGGGAAATTGAAACATGTAACTAATGTGGGTGTGGCAAATGATTTCAAAGTGAGAATTAATAAACTGGATTGAGAAACTTGGCTATTGACCACGCAGAAGCTGCTATCTAGTGGAGTACTCACCAGCCATGCTGCTTGTGATAAAATGCAGTTTTTCTACATGCTCCTGTGACAGTATATTAAAGAGGCCTGAGATACCATTATTAACATGTAAAAGGATACCAGATATTTCCCTAAGAACCTGCACTGATATCCTAGCATGGACCCTTAATAGCCCTTTGATCTGCTCAAGTCATAGGACCTTTCCCAGGACAAGCTCCTCACCTGTGATTTAAGGAAAGTGAGAAATGGCATTTGATAAGAGGCTAGGTACATAGAAGATAAGTTTACAGTCCACTCTCAGATGAGATAAAATAAAACACATATATAGCATTTGTTTGATATTTGCCATGAATCTTTGTTTAATACCAGCTACCATTTGTTTAATACCTGGTACCCTTGTCAATGCTTAATGAATATGAACTCACCTAATTCGCTAAACTCATTAGAGAATGAAATAATTCCCATTGTAGTCATGTGGGATATGAGAAACAGAAAGTAATTTGTCCAAAGTTCCATGGCTGTAAGTGGCAAAGCCAGGATATAATCCCAAATCAAATAGAGATGACTCTAAAACAAAGAAATTTAAAAAAAAAACAGGCTTTGTACTGCATTTCTACTTTTCTGAAATTGGATGAAAGAAATAGACGAGGTCCTAGTAGTGTGCTGGATTCTGACTTATTCTGTGAGAGAGCTACCTTGGGTGCAACTAAATCTCTATGACCTGTGGTTTTGGTGATGAGAAGAAGGTGAGCCCATAGGCCTGACTTGTTTCCACTTGGCATCTCTCATGTATGGTGGATTGAGTTGACTCTTACATTCCCTGGATAGAACACACCCCACCCTTGATAGAACACTCCGGCACAGAGAGCAGTGTAGCATAGCAGCTAAGAGCAGAGGCTCCAGTTGGGTTCCACTACTCCCAACTCTTCTGTTTCTAGGAGTGTAACTTTGTGCAAACCAATTAACTTCACTCCAACTCAGCTTCCTCATATTCAAATGGCTGTGAAAATGTGCAACCCTTCCGGCCCATTGTGAAGATTAAATTACATACATATATATGTATGCATACATGTACATGTATATATATAATAAATTCTAAAATATACTCTAAAACATAATTTAAAACTATATTATGTGTGTGTGTGTGTGTGTGTGTGTGTGTGTGTGTGTGTGTGTGTTTGGGGCTTAGTAAATGATATATATATATAAGTACTAGCTATTATCATTATATTTTTGCTTAAATATAGCAGAATTCATTCTGAATATAAGTAAAAACTAATACATGGAAATAGGTTTAGATTTTTAATAAACATAATGAAAACTTAGAGTCCAATAACTTGGTTTTGTAATTATGCTTGCCAGTTTATTATATGTAAGACTATGGATAAGTTACTTAAACTTTCTGAGTCCTGATTTCCTTCATTGTAAAATATAGATAATTATATGTACCTTTAAGATTTTCTATAAGGAAATCCTTTTCTGGCACAGTCTAGATGATCAAGGAAATTGAGATCTTTCTCCTTCTGCAGAAACATAGGCAGGACACTCCTCCCCACTCTTCTGTAGATTGCTGGTTTGTAAAAGGCATATGATGATCAAATATATCCCTATGATATTGACAGGTAAGTTCAATTAAGGAACAAGCAGAGGATTTGAAAAATAGCTATCCCATAGAATCTGTTAGAGTACACTCCACTGGATATTAGTCACTGCCAGTTTCTCCAAATGACTATTACACTTGCAGAATATGGGCTCTTAATCATCAAAAACAATATATATCTGCTAATTTACACTCCACGTCTTAAAATGCTTAGACTCCACAACTACTGTGGCAGGCAGAAAAGGTTCATAACAATAAAAAGAATTCCTAAAGATGTGCAATTAGTATTCACATGATACTGAAATAAAACCCTCGATTGATGACTATAAAAACAAACAAAAACAAACAAACAAACAAACAAAAAATACATCAACGTCCTACAAGTTATGACACCCACCTGAGTAAATTCCATGAAATCATGCACCACCTTTTAGGTTCACTTGTAAGACTGTCAGTCTCCTTTCAAGCCTGAACCATGTTGCATAATTGCCATTCCTTCAGCTTTGGTCATTCCTGAGTTAACTGCCTTGAGATACATAAATTGTACTTCATTCTTCTTTCCTACATAATATCAGCCTCCCTTGTCATGGGCAAATTACTCTGGAGCCAGATGGATCTTTTTAAAATGTAAATCTCACCATGCCACATCATTACCTTGTTTATGACTTCTCTGCCTTTAGAATAAAGTTTGAAAAATACTCTATTAGGTGTGTTTGTCCTGCCAGGATCTAGCCCCTGAGTCCCATAATTTTAAATTACTAGGTTTGAGTTCCTCTACATCCCCTCACTCCCAAAACTTTCCACACCCCACACTTCTGTTCATCCTTCCAGTTAAAATTCAATATTCTTCGGTTCTTTGGTCAGGAAGGCCTTAATCTGATTATTCACATTTGATGTTAAGTCCCCTTATGTAACATTCACCCCACTTCAATTTTCCTTTTTTATTGTTTCTTCTTGAAACTTAGCCCACTGTCTTTATTTGTGTGAATGTCCATTAAGACCATAAACTGCATGAGGTTGAAAACGAATATTCTCGTTCACTGCAATAGTCTTTGCATGTAAGGTAGAGTCTAGTACTTAGCATGTTCAATCAAATATATGTTGAATTATATTAAAATATGAATATACCCCTTAGCTCATTAATCATGCTCTGTGATTATTATTATCATTATTTTTATTAGTAGTGGTTCTAATATTAAACTTTCTTTTTTAGCCGTATGACACGTATTAACACTGGATACTGAAAGAGGGACTTTCTTCCTTTTCATTTCATCTCATGTTTACCTAAGTTCCCTGTATCTGAAGTCCTTTCTAAAGTACTGTGACTTTCATCTTGATGGAATAATGCATTATTTCCCTGTACTCAAGGACGCGTGGATGCATTTTCTTCCCACTCTAGTCTAACTTGTTTTAACAACTCCTATTAAACACTTCTTATAAGGAAAATGCATCCCTATAAAAATTATTTTAAGGCTTTTTGTTGTTGTTTTTCAGGGTTTATTTCCATGTGGTATGCAAATAATGCAGCTGTGGTTCTGAAATACTTTCCATAAAGGAAAAAAAAAAGAAAATCTATTAAAATAGAATGGAGATAACACCAAATACCAATTTTATACTTTTTTTTTTTTACAAGTTACATTGAGTATCACTAAAATCATATGAAATGAACAAATTACATTGAGTATCACCAAAATCATATGAAATGAAACTTTCCCATATGGGTTAGTTTGTTTCCAGCTAAATGCTACAATTAAAAGTGGCTGCCTTGCCACTGGATGTTCATGTGGCCAAACCACAAAGCTACCTCTCAAGAAGGAATCATTGTTGGTGAGCAGAAGTGTCCTATCCACTGTCCTCTTCTCTATGACAGCCTCAGAACCAGAAGCCCTTTCCCCATGTCAAGGACATGCCCTGGTTTTTGCTCCCCCTTTTTCTTTTCTCATAAACTTGGGATTGGTAAAAGAAGATAAATCTCTTTCAGAAGATGACAATAAGAGTTCTTCTACCTTCTTATTTTCTTTCTTCTTCTGTAAAAGAAGTGTTGGAGAAGAATAATCCACATACATTTTTAGCTGGAAGGATCCCCATTACAAAAGACAGGTTAACAAGAAAAAATCAAACAAAAGTTCACTAACATGTACATTTCACATATACATGGAGGACACCCAGAGAATGAGTAGTCCTCAAAGAGGTAACTTTGAATTCAAGTTTATATGGCATCGTTAACAAAGAACAATATATTTTTAGAGAAGTGACAAGATAAAGGAAAAGAACTTTGAGTCTCTAGGGGCAACAAATTGAGAGAAGGCAGATAACTGGCAGATAAAGGCTGGTTAGTGAAGCTTGTTAACATAGATACCTCTGGTCCCATTGCCAGGTGTATGAGGGTTCAAAGTTGTCTTCAGTAGTTATCTTTGTTTCCCCTGACAGAGGAGGGGTGGATCTCTTTTGTCTTTGTAAATCTAAGTTCTGCTTTTAGGCAAATAGAGGGAGGGCAGAGAGCTTTCTTGTGTCTTCTTAATTGTCCTCAGCTCATCAACACTTCATATTTTGGGAAGGCATATTCTGGTCTCTCCAAGAAGATAAACATGATTTTCCTTAGATCTTTCCATGGCCCCTCCTTTCTCAACTTTCAGGTTCCAGCTTGATCAATGTCATTTCCTCTAAATGAAACTTCCTTGACCAACCTACTTTACTCTGATTTAGTGTCTTCATGGACTTATGTCTGGTTCCCTCACTATGTGAACTATGAATATATGAACTACGGGGACACTTAATCCAACTTTTTCAATGCCAAATTTTTATCTATGACAGTGGCAGGCACACAATGACAGTCAGAAACATATTTGTGGAAGACAAAGGAAGGAAGGAAGGAAGGAATAGGGGAGGGAAAGAAGGAACATTTAACTAGCAAAATTTTAACCTGGGGATGACTTAAACTAGGATAACATCTAAAGAGCTAAAAATATGCTGGGGAAGGGGTGAGGGAAGGTTCTCTTACGGCTAGTTTTTAATCTAGGCTCATAAAGGGATGACAAACGGAATCTTTTAAGTTCCCTATTTAGTCTTGTTCTCCAGAAGAGAAACATGAACTTCAGAGAAGGCTTAATCCCCGGGAATACAGTGTAGTTATTTGGCTGGAGTGATCATGTGCTGGCTTTGAAATGTGGGTTTGATTTACTTTCCAACACAGCGTGCAAAACTCGCTAATAGACAAGACCACCACCAACAAATGATACTCCCTTGCAAGAAAGAGACTAGAAAAAGGTCTAGGAGAAAGAAAAGGGAAGCCGTGGGCTTAGGGCTCTGTTAACCTTTAAAGGAAAGGCCTTAAAAGGTTATCATAGTTTCTGCATAATGGAGTTTTCAACAATTTAGGAACATAAAAAGAAATTCAGGGCAAAATCTTCAGGCTGCTAAGTGTTACAGATGCAGGTACAACTCAGGCAAATATACTTTTAATAAATAAATAAATGCTAAAATATGCTCTAAAAACATAAGTTAAACAACAGTAATCAAATTTATATATAGTCACATAGTAATTATCTCCCTAAAGCATTCTCACAGGAGCATTCCTTTCTTTGAAGCCATTGTCTTGCTTAAGAGTTACTATTCCTCCTGCTGGTGAAAAGATTTAATTCCTCAAGGATCCTGCCACACCAAATGTTTGATTGTATGAGAACAATTTCTAAAGAGCATAATCCTGCTTGACAACAACAAACTTTGTGGAAAGCAGACAAGCTCTGGGAATCCCCGGGGTGTTTCCTCAGTGCACAATGTATTTTAGTCAACTCAAACCAGGTGTATACACTCTTCCTTCCTGCTCACATACCAGGCATCTGTTATTCTGCTAGTTCCTATCAAGGATAATAGAAACAACTTCTTTCTCCTAACATCAGTGAGAGGTCAATGCTTTTTTTTTTTTTTTTGAAGTGCTAGATGTCTGGAGGCTAACATCCTCCAGTCCTTGCAGAGGGGATACATCAGTCAGGAGAGGTAGGCTGTTACAAAATAGCACAGGGCACCAACCTAATAGTCTAACGCAACTATATTAGTCTGTTTTCATGCTGCTAATAAAGACATACCTGAGACTGGGTAATTTATAAAAGAAAGAGGTTTAATTGACTCAGAGTTTCACGTGGCTGGGGAGGCCTCACAATCACTGCGGAAGGCAAACGAGGAGCAAAGTAACTAACGTCTTGCATGGCAGCAAGGAAGAGAGTGCGTGCAGGGGAACTCCCTTTTACAAAACAATCGGATCTCATGAAACTTATTCAGTTTCGTGAGAACAGCATGGGCAAGACCTGCCCCCATGATTCAATTAGCTCCCATGGGGTCCCTCCCATGACATGTGGGAATTATGGGAAGTACAATTCAAGGTGAGATTTGGATGGGGACACAGCCAAACCATATCAACAACAAAAGCTTATTTATTGTGCTAACAATGTCTGCAGCATGTTCTGTCAACTTGCAATCAAGCTTCCTGATTATCCTGGCTCTGTGAGAGTGGATGCTTCAAACTTGTGGCTTTTCAATCCCAACCATCCTTTCATAATTGCTGTATCACGAAAAAGAAACATGAAGAATTGAGCACCAGCTTTTCAATGTTTCAGCTTGGAAATGGCACCCATTACTTCCTGATATCATCAATTGCTGGGAACTGTTTACATGGAACCCCGTTAAGGAAAGGGGATGAGAAAGGTAGTCTTCCATGCATCTTGGAAATATTAGACACACCAAGATTGTCTACCACAGATTGCTAATAGGACTTTTAGTCCTTTTCTCAATCTTTCAGCAGATTTTTTGTCTTACAATTCAATACTTTCTTCTGCACTCCAACTCTGTATAACTGCACCCATCATATGGAGTGATGGTGGTTGGAAGTAGAAGGTGGAGACAAGAAAATTGAAAGAAGAAGGAAAGTTCAATAAGCTAAATCATAATGTCAGGAAAAGAACAATTTAGATATATCGTCCTGTGAAATTGGTAAGTAAGAGTATCTATCATATACACAAAAAGCATTCATAAAATTAGTTACAATGACTAGGGAGGATTAGATGCCAGAGCCTCTGCTATGCATTTTATGTAAGTTGACTCCACCTTCCATCACTCCCCTCCATGTAATCCCTAAAGTCATAGAGTTAGAGCACAGGAGGGTTTGATTGTAGCTCTGACTGGCTTCAAACCACATCCTCTTTCTACCACACACTATTAAGCAGTGACTATTTAATTAATGTTCGCTCGTCTGAACTGCAGAGAGATGAATAAATGCAAAGAAAGCCCTGGGTGAATTGAGGGAGAAAGTTCTGAAATCTGAGAGGATGTAGGTGGTTGCTTGCAAGCACTTCTTTAGGTGTTTCAATGTCAAAAATTCAATGAGAAATAATTATATTCATTTCCTAAAGACCATTGAATGCTTATGATAAAAAGATAAGGGGTTTAACAAATGTTAGTGGAGCTCCCTGAGACATTCAAAGAAGTTTAAAATGTAGTTCCCTCTTTCATTTTCATGGCCAGAAATGTTAAGTACTTTATTAGCATTTTACTTAATTAGTAACTCTGAAATAAAAGGGAAGATCAAGTATGAAACTATCTAAAAACAGAAACACTATCTCCAGCCTACTCACTCCAATATCTTCTGGGAAATAACCAAAGATTGCAGAGAGCTCATTGTTGATATTTTAGCACTAGCCATCTTTCACATTTAAAAGGTGATTTCACTACTATTTAATTTTAGATATTTGAAAAGTTATGCTGGCCTTGCAATGAACTTAAATCCATCCACATCACCTCAGGGGAAGATAAATTTCATTGCTTAAGTATTCATAATAAAATAATTATAAGGGAAAATGAGAGCTGTATCTCAATGTTATGCTCCACTACTTGATCTGCAAGAAGATACAGATAATAGCTACTGGGTTTTGATTCACTACTTTTGTTAGTCTCTGTTCAAGGTTTTGCATGTGTTTATGAACTTATTCCTCATCATATTAAACATCACAGCTGGATGAGGTATTATAAACACCTTCAGTTTACAAATATGGGACCTAAGACACATGCTAGAGGCTTGGTTAATATTTGTTAACATTTACTAAGTATTCATGAAGTGACAGATTCTATTAAATGCTTTCTGAATTTAATGGTAAAATCCTCACATCAGTCCTATGATATGGACACTGACACTAACCCTCTTTTACAGATGAGATCACTGAGGTTCATAGAAATTAAATAACTTGAGCAGGGTCATCATGCAAGCCATGGGTGACAAAGCAAGGATCTGGCTTTCACACATTGTCCTGGTAGACCTTAGATCAAAAAGTTAGCTTGCCTAGTTCCAAATTTATGAATGTTTTCTTCCTTTCTAGTGGCTCTGTAATTAAAACAGGGATGTAATTTTTTAGTTTATTTTATGGTTCCAAAATATGCTTCATTAATCCATAGTGAGTAAGTCTTCTTTAAAAAGCTCAACCACTCCTAGAATGTCTGTAAGTTTCTCCTGGAGTCCTAAAAAAGAGAAATTGTGATATCTAATCATTAAAATTAACTGCATCGAAACATGCTGGAAACTCAAGCTCCCAAGTTCTGCTTTCTTGGTCATAACCTGTGGTGGCTCTTATCCAAAATACAACTGAAGCTGTCTATGGCATTTGATGCCACTCACTTCTTTTTTCTCTTCTCGCATTATCTCTTCTGCTCTGGATAACTTGATATGATGGTTTGACTTTGGTAGAGTTTGGGGATTTGGTGACCCATTAATTTTATTTATTCTACATTTAATTTGACTCCTTCCTTGGCATGAAATCAGATCTTAACCTTACCATTCAAATATTCAGGCATAATGTGTATCTGTTGTTGAAAAAGTTCATGAATAGATGAAGGCATATATGTTCTGTGTCTTTGGGGGATTGCAATCTAAATCCCTCTCATATTCCTTGAGTATTACAAATCTATTGCTTCTTCCCTCTTTCGCGTTCTTAAACCTTCTACTTCTGAGGGAATGGAGACAATAACATTATTCATAGCTAATGTTAGTGCCAGAAACTGTTTCAAATATTTAAAATATACTAGCCCATCTAATTATCCCAATGGTAACATGAGTCAGGAGCTTCTGCTACACTATCAACCTAGAAAACTGGCACACAACATGCTTCAGCCAATTAAAGTGCTCAGTTGGAGAAAATTTCTGAGAGCACTGGAGGTTGGCATACTTCGGTCATTTCCCTCTTCCCTTGCTAACAAAACTTTGACTTTCCTGCCCACTGCCATATGGCCAGTCATTAGCAGTCCAAGCCTTTATTGTACTAAGGTAGTCGTGTGACCCAGATACGAAGGGCAGTATGCAGGGGTTACAGGAACCCTTCAGAGAGAGTTTGTTTTCTTTATAAAAGCATGGAATCTTACAAGGAGAAAATCTTTTTGCCTCTGATTCTTCTTTCCTGTTTTGTTGTCTGCACAACGGTTATAAAGAATAACAGAGACCTTTTTTTTTTTCATAATGCAAGAAGCACACAGGCAGCAAATGTAATGCCTGGACGTAGTAAAGAATAAAGAGGGAGCGCATCTATTCTCTGATTGCATTACTGAGCTGCTGAGCCAGCACTATGGCCACCTACCCTCAGAAAGCCTTTGACTTCAGATGGCTAATACCTTGACTACTTAAACATTATAAATTGATATTCTGTTACTTGCAGCAAAAAGTAATTTTAGCTGAAACGGAATTTCACACTCAAAGTGACTGGGGCACTGCAAGTTACAGACCCAAGGATAAGGATTTGACTAATTAGCAAATATAGTTATAGCAGGAGATAAGAATCCAACACTTGCAGGCATGTTAGACAGGATTCCCGCTTGACCCCCAAGGTTCCTGCCTCTTGGTGTACTCATACCCACTCTGTTATTCAGTCCATCACTAACCGAGGTACCGCTGTGAAGAGGTTTTGCAGACATAATGAAGTTCCCTAATCAAATGACCTAAAATTAGAAAGACTATCTAAATGGGTCTAACTTAGTTACGTGAACCTTTTAAAAGCAGAGAGTTTTCTCTGGATGGCTAAAGAAGAGAAAGTCAGAGAGATGTGTCTAGAAGTTAAAAAAATAAAAAAATTTTAAAAAGCATGTTTGGAACTACTATGGGAGCCACATCATTAGGCAGCTTTATTGATATGAGAGACAGTCCCTGGCCAACAGCCACCAGGAAAATGCAACCTCAGTCAATAGCTGCAACGAAATTAATGTTTCCAACAATTGGTGAGCTTGGAAAAGACCTTGAGTCTCAAATAAGAACCACATGCTCTGCCAGCATCTCAATTTCACCTCTGTGAGACCCTAAGCAGAGAACCCAGCCATGCCATCCTGTTCTCCGAATCCATGGAAACCGTGAGATATATTTTAAGCTGCTAGATTGCGATAATTTGTTATGAAGCAACAGAAAACTAATGCAGTGGGCTAAAAGTAGTTGACCCTGGTTATAGAGGAGGAAGCATTTAATTAAAATATCTGCGACTGCACATTGAGACTAACACCACATCCCATCTGAGGCTGTAATATTAGGGGAAAGGAAAAAAAAAGCATAATAATGGATATTTAAGTTTCTTATAGTTGTCAGCAATGCTGTACAACAGAGATATCAGATTAGGTATGTGGTGAGAGAGCTAGACACAGAGAGAAAAAAATATATAGCCTTCTAAGATGGGCCTTTTTCGCCAGTAGCCTGCAACCTTAGTTTACTAAGAATTTCATAACTTGGAACCATTTTGTATTATAGAAGTCAACTTTTGTAACTCAAACTAATGTAAGTAGTGCAACCAAAACAGTGGATTCAGCAGGAGAGAAGTTTGACAAGAGGTCCATGAATTTCTCAAACCCTTTCCATTCAGCAGTTTTAAATGAAGCAATTCATGTATGCCAGCAAAGTAATATTGAAGTTGATTCTGTGCCCAGGACAATTGACTCAAGAAGCCATAGGTCAGACACAAGGAAACTACAAGTTAGAGGAACACACGAGGTAGCTTTGATAATTAAAGGGCCTATTACAATGTCATTGGGAGGAAGACGGTATCTCCAGCGCTCACTTGAAGAAATGACCTCTGAGTTCGCTTAGTTCTCCACACCATACCCTTGGTGACAGAAACAGTCTGGATGGGTCACAATTCCCCAGGAATTGTTATACCACACCTAAGTTGCACCCCTACTTAATTTTAACATGTGTCTTATATATACTGCCAACTAGTTTCTCAGCTATTCTGCATGACAGAAATAGTTCAGAATTTTAAGCTGGACACGCCTGTGTTTGCCCCCAACTCTATCACTTATTAGATGAACTGTGGCCACCTGACTCACCATGTTTGTTAAATTATTCTAAATAAGTAGTTGATGCATAGGTTAATGATCAACCTCTACTTCTATACAGGACTAAAACATATATTGATGAAGTGGGGCTGTCATTTCAAATATACTGACTGCCAGCATTCCCCTCAATGCTTAAAACAGCAGTTCCATTCTCAGAAATGTTTCTGTTTCTTGTGCTCCATGTTAATGTGCAGGGAATGGCTGAAAGGACTATTTTTGAGTCCCACATATGTTATTCACTAGCTGCATGATTTTGGTAAAATTATTTCCCAAGGCTTGGTAAAGTACCTGACACAAAGTCAGAATACATAAGATGTTCAGCACCCTCCCCCACGTTCCTTCCAAGGTTTTAGTCCCTGTATCTCTAAGGGGATTCATTACTTAATGGGTACAGTGTATACTATTTGCATGATGGATATCCTAAGACTCCTGATTTCACCAGGATACAACCTATGCATGTAATAAAATTACACTTGTCTACCATACATTTACACAAATAAATAAGATATTTTTCCATTTGGAAGTCTATTATTTTACAATGTGAAGCATTTTTTTTCTGTAGGGTACAAGGAGACGATGGGGTTTTGCAGAAAAAGAAAAAATGTTCATTGTATGAAAATAAACAGTGGGAGAAAATCACGTCATGCCTAAGACTGACTTGATAATCCATATGGCTCAGCATTGTTGTTAGGCAGCTGGCTCCCTTTTGTTCATACTAAAATGGCCCACAAAAGCATTCCATAGATTGACCTCAAGATTCCCTGCTTACAAGGTTTTGTGATTAGTTTTCAATAATTATATTTGTTTGACCTCCCCAACTCCCATACCTTTGAAACATAGTGAATTATTGTTAGGTGATTAAACCTCATACATGTTATTTTTAAAATCACATTTTAATGAATTGATCCTTCTATGATTCTCAGAGACCTTTCAATTCAAGCGTCATTTGGTTCTAATCACTATCCTACCTATAAAGTATGTGAATTTGTCAGAATAGATTAATTCAGGAATGGCCACAACTAATGCCTGGACTTTGAGTAGTTTGGCATAGCACATGTGCCTTTCTTGCTGACGTCAAGGTCTGCTGTGCTCAAGCACTCTCTGAGGGAACTGTGCTGTAATATTGACAAAAGAATCTGACCTCCTTACATCCACGAATGTTGTCATCTTAAGGTGACGTGTTTTCAGCAGCAAAGACATGAGAGAGAGAATGACAGAGTTTGCGGGGACATTTTAGGGCTTGTTCTGAAATTAAAGAGCATCATTTCCAACCACATCCCATAGGACAAAAAGTCAGTTGCACGGTCCTGGGCTCACTGCAAGGGGTTTGGAAATATTGACTCCACCTATACGCACCTCCACAGGTGTGGATAAACAGACAGACAGATAGATAAATAGATGGATAGATGGTGGGTTAGATAGATAGATAGATAGATAGATAGATAGGTGATAGATCTTTTAAACTCTGGCAAAACTTGGGTTCTAAATCAGTTTCTGCCATTTATGAATTCTTTGGTAGAATGTTGTGTAATTATATTGAGCCTATTTCCTTAGCTATAAAATAGTACATTTGTTTTTAATCAACTTTTTGTTTTCACAACTAAGAATTACTATATGTCAGGCACCCTACTGGATATTTAGGAAACAAATATGAACAGAGTAGATACCCCCTTTTTCCATGAAAGTGACATGGTACCAAAAAAGGCAGCTGCTAATGAAATAATTAATAATCAGTAAGCCAGGCGCGGTGGCTCACGCCTGTAATCCCAGCACTTTGGGAGGCCGAGACGGGCGGATCACGAGGTCAGGAGATCGAGACCATCCTGGCTAACACGGTGAAACCCCGTCTCTACTAAAAATACAAAAATTAGCCGGGCATGGTGGCGCGCGCCTGTAGTCCCAGCTACACGGGAGGCTGAGGCAGGAGAATGGCGTGAACCCGGGAGGCGGAGCTTGCAGTGAGTCGAGATCGCGCCACTGCACTCCAGCCTGGGCGACAGAGCGAAACTCTGTCTCAAAAAAAAAAAAAAAATCAGTAATCTAAATGGAACACTATATTAGTTATGAATGTTAATAAGAGGGTGTGCAGGATGTTATTAGAAGATATTTTGCGGTATTTGTCATAAGAAGCTATGGAAGGTTTTTTTGTCATAACTATAATTGATGTGAGCTTTGAAACAGAAAATAAGTAGACTAAAAAATAATGATGTGGGGACATTTTCAAAGGGATTAAGTGGGATATATTGAGATTAGAAAAATAAATTTATGTTTTCCATACATCAATAGATGCAATGAAGAAGGTAAAAGTTATTATTTCTTATACTGTGTGTAAGAAAAGATATTACTCCACAATCCACCCCAAACACAAAAGCAAAACAAGCAAAACAACAACAAAGGAAAAACCTCTCTTCCCCAAAAGGAAATAAACACTTCTTTAATAAACGTACCCTGTTTTAGAGATGACTATTACTTAGTTCTCCTCCGTTCTTCGTTTTAGCAGTTACAGGTCATCTTACACTGGATTGCAGACTCAAGCCTAAAAAATCTGTGATGTCTGAGCTTTCTGCTATGTGTCCTTTTGAAACAATTCATCATTTGTGCCTGAGATATGGATCACACCTGAACTGTTCTTTGTACTAAAGGAATGGCACAGCGCCTGGTATACAGTCAGTGTGTAATGCATTAGCTAGTTTTTACCCTTGGTCTCCACAGCCCTAGGGGTGGAGACAGGTAGAGATAGAGCTGCCATCATCATGGCTACATTAACCCAGAGAAGACTTTAATTAGGTTGTCTTTAATATGTTTCTTAGAATCTAGAGATCATGTCTCCCTTGGTGAGAATTTTCTCTGCATGTTTCAGAACATTACGTCTCATTGAGCTTTATTGACATTATCACTGACTCCCAGTCACCAACTAAAATCTGCTGGATTTTGTCTTGAAGTTTCATAGTGCCCTATTTTTAAAAATCCTAAGTCCCATAAACAGATATGTGGTTATTAGAAATCATGCAAATTGATGATATATAATAACTTAAGCATAGATGAAACACATCTGATACTTAAAAGAATAGGCTTCTTCTCCTCAATATTCTATTCTTTTTCAAATTCCAGGCAATAATTATAAATTAAGATTGAGTGTGCCTTTTCATATTAGCTGAAATTTCTATTCCATAAAATAGACACCAATACAAGGTTCTGGGTGAGCAAACACCTGCAGTCTAGATTCGATTTTGCCATTTTTCATGAAAGAACATTGGATTCAAAGAGCAGTAGGTGCAAATGTTGGTTTTACTACTTACTTAATTGGTATTAGGTTTAAAGGACACAGCAATCTGGGCTCAGCAGAGGAATTCCGTGATGAATTAGTGATGTCTGTCAGGAGCATGGGGAGGAGATATGATGAAGGGGGTATGTGGCAGCCCAAGATTTACTTATTTGTCATTCCTGTAAAAAGCAATTACTGTGACTTCCCATATTCCATAATGTCCCTTGGGAGCAGTGGCCTCATAAGTCTAATGGGTATAATCACATCTACTGTAAAACCAGAGAAAATTACCGAGGCAAGTTTCAATCAATTTAGAGGTTAATTTTGCAAAGGTGGAGAACATGACTGGGAAAAAGGAACAAAAAATTGCAGGAACACCTGTGATCAGTGCTTTCTTCAAAGAGGGTTTGAGGACTTGAGTATTTAAAGGGGAAAGAATGGACAGTAGGGAAAAGAGGAAAGAACAAGTTGGGGTGGGTTGGTAAAAGAGACAAGTGGTTGTATTATTTTGAGGCTTTGATCCGCATTCACCGAATTCACATTTTACATGTGAATGGGGGAAGAAGAACAGTCAACTATGAATTAGCCTTGCACTCAGTGAATCTGTATTTTTCATACAAGGTGAAATAAACAGAGTAGAGGAAGCAGTCACATACGCAATTGTTTCAGATGAGTGGAGGGATGACTTCTAGTCCTGTCTTTGTCCTGTACCTTTTTTTAGATTGTGCTTCATGGTATTTTTTTTTTTCTTTTTGAGACGGAGTCTCGCTCTTGTCGCCCAGGCTGGAGTGGAGAGGCACAATCTCGGCTCAGTGCAAACTCTGCCTCCCGGGTTCAAGCTATTCTCCTGCCTCAGCCTCCTGAGTAGCTGGGATTACAGGAGCCTGCCACCATGCCTGGCTAATTTTTGTACTTTTAGTAGAGACAGGGTTTTGCCATGTTGGCCAGGCTGGTCTCGAACTCCTGAAGTCAGGTGATCTGACTGCCTGCCTCAGTCTCCCAAAGTGTTGGGATTATAGGTGTGAGCCACTGTACCCAGCCATCATTGTATTTTTTAAAAACATTTTTCTAGCTTTTATTTCAGGTCCAGGGGTACATGTGCAGGTTTATTTTAGGTTCAGGGGTACATGTGCAGGTTTGCTATATAGGTAAATTGTTGTGTTGTGGTGGTTTGGTGTATAGCTTATTTTATCAACCAGGTAATAAGCAAAGTATTCAGTAGGTATGTTTTTGATCCTCACCCTCCTCCCACACTCCACCCTTAAATAGGCCCTGGTGTCCCTTCGTTGTGTCATATGAACTCGATGTTTAGCTCCCACTTGCAAGTGAGAACATAAGGTATTTCATTTTCTGTTCCTGCATTAGTTCACTTAGGATGATGGCGTCCATCTCGAACCATGTTGCTGCAAAGGACATAATCTCATTCTTTTAATGGCTGTGTGGTAATCCGTGGTGTATATGTACATTTTCTTTATCCAGTCTACCATTGATGGGCATTTATGTTGATTCCATGTCCCTTTGCTATTGTGAATACTGCTGACATGAACATATGCACACATGTGTGTTTATTGTTTTGTACCTTTGAAGATAAGCTGTTTATTTACATTGGCAGGATAAAATTCAACAGAACTTTGTTTTAGGGTAAAGATAAGAGGGACCACAGGGATTTCCTTGTGAGCAAATGCTGAGGAAGTTCCTCTGGGTGGGTACATGACCTTCTATCTTTGCAGCTATCTACGAAGGAACAAAATGGGAGGCAGTTTTGCAGGACTCAGTTTCCAGGCTTAACTTTTCCCTTTGGCATAGTGAATTCCAGGCCCTAAGATTTTCTTTTCTTTTCACAATACCATACATCCATTCCAGGATAACAAGAACTTCAATTGAGTCAATGCCTGTAAAAATTCTTCAAAAAGCAAGGAATTGAAAAATAATAGGTTTGAGTAATGATGATTGCATTGTTGAGTCATTTAGAGATCATAGTTAAGGTAGCTTGAAACACCTTATAATTTTATTGCCTCATAACCTTCAGGAGAGTAACGCAAAATTAGAACTGATATTCTTGAGAATTAAATGAGTGCATTGATTTTGACATGAAGCACAATCTCACCCTGAGTGAGATATGTTTGCTTTGAAAAAGTAAGAGTGCTGCACGGTTTGAACCTTTGTGGATACTGGTGTTCAGCAACTCTAAAATCAGAAAGCTTGCACTTCGTTATTTGCTAGCTCTGTTATCTTGCACAACTGTATCTCTTAATGTCTTGGTTCCCTCATCAATAAAGTTGTAATATTAAGAGTACTTAACACATGGAGTTGTTGAAAAAATTAAATAAGTTATATATGAATTAGAATTACTCCTGACATAATGGTTCCTAGCTATTATTAATCAAATGGCACTCAAAGGCAGAGGATTCTGGAACCAGTAAGCCACACAAGCACTTTAGGAAAAGGAGACGTCTAAAATTTTATGGGGTGAGGACTGAGAAAACAAAGTGGCTGGGAACCCCAAGCCTGGCCGGGGGAGTTCACTTAGTACTGTGCAGTTGTCAGATGCAGTACTAATCTTTATGAGATAGAACTTGATCATGACCAGCACCCTCAAATCACTGATGAGCCAAATACTACAGTAGATTTTCCTAAGGAAGATAGCATACTTGCCATTTTAATTATAATCTCTGTATTTAGTAATAAAAGGCATTGGACCTAATTTTCAGTTCAGTGGAAACTGAACCTGGTAAGCCATATAGCTCTACATAAGCAGACATAAATTCTACGTGGACATATAAAGACCACACAAGAGTATTAGGTGCACAGTAAGCCTGCACTGCAGAATCGTATCTCCTTGACCCCATTCTAATCATGTTGTAACAGAAACTCAAGTTCAGTTGTTCACCACTTGCAGTCCATTAATAAGGGCAAGGCCTAGTATAAAGAAAGCAACTTTTTATTCCAAAGCCAGCTAAGGAGAAGAAGTGCAGGCTCCCCGCCTTAAGGGTGCCACTTTGCTAATGGAGCAGAAAGCAGGTGCTTTTAAAAAGCATGAACGGCACATGGTTGTGGGAAAACACGGGGGGGAGTCAATGTAACTCACTTTGCTGCCTTATCTACCAGGCAGCTGAGCTGGTGACCACTGATGCCTTTGTGGAAAGAACTGAGTTGTTAAAGTGACTGAAATTCTCCAGGTGGGGGAGAGTTTCGTAACAGGCATACTTTGGGTTGTAGATTGACTGTTGTCTCTCAAGGCAGTCTCCTGGTGGGAGAAAGTTCTGCTTTGGAGCTTCTAAGCACAAAGTTAGATGGACTTGCCCTGTGGGGAGTGTCTGGTGAAGGAGAGGTAAAAGGTTATAACTGCACTTCTAGAGAGCAAAGTAGGAAGTAGGAAAAAGGAGAAAAGAAGGAGAAAAATAATTAAAACATCTCTTTGAAAAATGGGGGTACTGGGTTAAAATGTCCCTTTGGATATTGCTAATTAGAAAAAATTAGCCGATAGGTAGTTAGAAAAAAAAAATATTTGCCTAATAACTATAATGGAAGTAGTCTGATTACCCCCATTTCTTTCTAAAAAGGGGACATTCCTGCATACTGGGGGAAGGGGCACATGGACAGTTTATATTTTCAAGTCAATTTTGGTGAGAACCTAAAACTGATTAAAAAAATAGAAAATATAAAAGAATATATATTCCTTCAAAAGGATGAAATCAAAAAAGAAACAGGGAGAAAGAGTACTCAAAGAGATTGTCTCCCTGAAAGTATGAGCTTTGAACCTTTTTTTAAAATGAGAGTGACTAGAGCTTCTTGTCTTGTTCCTGGTTTGACTTGTCTCTATTAGGATTGCTTTTCTACCTGGTAGAGTCAGATAAATAAATGCAAGGCAGAGGCATCTCAGTTAAAGTTGGGACGTGGTTCAAAACACTACTATTAGTGATTCTAGCATTTTGAGGCTACTTAATGATGAAGCTCAATGAAGAAGAAATAAGTCCACAATGCAGAAATAAAAAAGTGATTTGGAGAGTACAGCTGATTTCAAGAGACCAGAGGGAAGATTCTATTCTCATTGCTTTTAATCAAGGGTAGCCAGGGTGCAGAGCTGTCTTAATGTGTTCGGGCTGCCATAACAAAAAAAAAAAAACAACTGTAGACTGGGTGGCTTAAGCAACAAACATTTATTTCTCACAGCTCTGGAGGTGCGAAGCCTCAAGGTGACAGCAGATTAGGTTCCTGATGAGGGCCTGTTTCTTGGCTTGTAGTTGGCCACCTTCTTACTGTGTCATCACATGGAGGAAAGAGAGGAAACTCTGGTGTCTCCTCGTCTTCTTACAAGGGCATTAATTCCACCATGTGGGCTTCATCCTCGCAATCTCCTCTGAAACTAATTATGGTCATGTGTTGCTTAATAAGGGGGATACATTCTGAGCCATGTGTCCTTAAGGTGATTTTACCAGTTTGTGAACATCATAGAAAGTATTTCCACAAACCTAGCTGGTAGAGCGCACTACACACCTGGACTATGTGGTCTAGCCTATTATTCCTGAGCTACAAATTTGTACAGCACATTACTGTACCAAATACTGTAGGCAATTGTAACACAATGGTGTTTGTGTATCTAAACACAGAAAAGGTACAGAAAAAAATACTATATAAGAGCTAACCAATTTAATTTATATTTAAACATAGCTGGAAGAAAAGATTTGGAATATTCCTAATGAAAAGAAATGGTAAATGTTGGAGGCGATGGATATCCTAATTTCCTTGATTTGATGATTATACATTGCATGTGTATATCAAAATACCACATGCACCCCATAAATATGTATTATTATTTTGTATCAATAAAAACATAGATCCGTAGATAAATAATAGATGAAAAATGGTCCACCTATGCACCTATACACGGCACTTACCATGAAGGGAGCTTGCAGGACTGGAAGTTGCTCTGGGTTAGTGAATGAGTGGTGAGTGAGTGTGAAGGCCGAGGATATTGCTATACACCACTGCAGACTTCACAGACACTGCACACATAGGCAGCACCAAATGTATTAAAAACATTATTTTTCTAATAATAAATTAAACAGTATACTGTAACTCCTTACTTTATAAACTTTTCTTTTTTTTTTTTTTTTTTTGAGACAGAGTCTTGCTCTGTTGCCCAGGCTGGAGTGCAGTGGCACAATCTCGGCTCACTGCAAGCTCTGCCTCCCGGGTTCATGCCATTCTCCTGCCTCAGCCTCCCGAGTAGCTGGGACTACAGGTGGCCGTCACCACGCCCGGCTAATTTTTTGTATTTTTAGTAGAGACAGGGTTTCACCATGTTAGCCAGGATGGTCTCGATCTCCTGACCTCGTGATCTGCCCGCCTCAGCCTCCCAAAGTGCTGGGATTACAGGCCTGAGCCACCATGCCCGACCTTTATAAACTTTTCAATTGTTTTTATCTTTTTATCTTTTTTGTCAGAACAGTTTAAAACACAAACACATTGTACATCTGTGCAAAAAAAATTATTTCATTATATCCTTATTCTATATGTGTTTTTCTATTTTTAATTTTTGTATATTAAACATTTTTATTAAAACTAAGACAAACACACACTAGCCTCGGCCTGCGCAAATTCAGGATCATCATAGGAAGCCAGATATAGCCTTCTGACTCAGAAGACCACCATAGTCCTTATGAGAGGACAAATATTTCAAAGTAGAGGTATAACCCCAGGGGGATGATGACTAACTGTAGAGCAGCCAGGCAGACTCTAGAAGGGGAGAAAAGGTAGATTCCCTGGCCTAACATCCTCTTACTGATCTTATTCTTGATTTCTTTCCTGACTTACTCCTCTTTGTTCACCACACTGAAGTCTTCAGGGTCATTTAAAATACAAAATGATTTCTTCAATGTATTCCCACTGAACAGAGAATAAAATACCATTCATTTCCATGCTTTAGAATATAGAAGATAGACCAGGCACAGCGGCTCACGCCTGTAATCCCAGCACTTTGAGAGGCTGAGGTGGGCGGATCACCTGAGGTCAGGAGTTCGAGACCAGCCTGGTCAACATGGTGAAACCCCATCTCTACTAAAAAATACAAAAATTAGCTGGGCGTGGTGGTGGGTGCCTGTGATCCCAGCTACTCGGGAGGTTGAGGCAGGAGAATTGCTTGAACCCAGGAGGTGGAAGTTGCAGTGAGCTGAGATCATGCCACTGGACTCCTGCCTGGCAATAGAGTGAGACTCCATCTCCATAAAAAGGAAAACAAAAAAAAAGGAATCTAGAAGATAATTCACAAAATGGCACTCCCTGCCTCACTTTCCAGTATTGGCTCCCGTATACCATGCAATAACCTCCTTGGAATTCTTTCAGTTTGTGGAAGTATTTCTCACTTACACACTGGCATTGAACTTTCTCTCTATCTCAGGTCTTCACTTGGCTGGATCCCTTTCATTTTATTTTATCCTATTAAATGTCACTCACTCAAATGATCCTATCTAAATAAACAACTTATGCTGTTCTTTTTTATTTTATTTTTAGAAACAGTATCTCATTCTGTCACCCAGACTGAAGTACAGTGGTGCAATCATAGCTCACTATCCTCAAACTCCTGGGCTCAAGGGATCCTCCTGACTCAGCCTCCCAAGTGGCTGGGATTAAGGGCCTGAGCCACCATGCCCAGCCTGCTATTCTCTGTTATGCCCCACTATCTGTTTTCTTTCTATCATTTATGACAACCTATTCATTACTTTCTTCATATTTTATTGACTGTTACCCTTACTAGGCTGGAAACTTAAATGGAAACAAAGACCATGTTTTCAATCTTCTTGATACAGTTATCTAAAATAGAACCTTGCCTAAGTCATGACTGAATGTACCTAATGGGACTTAGTAAAATCTACTGAAGGAAAGGAGGAAGGAAGGAAAAAAGCAAGGAAGGAAGGAAGGAAGGAGGAGGGAGAGAGGGACCGAGGGAGGGAGGGAGGGAGGAAGGAAGGAAGGAAGGGGGAAGGGAGGAACAGAAGGAAGAATGGAGGGAGGAAGGAAGGGAAGGGAGGGAAAAGAGGAATGGAAAGAGGAAGAGGGAAGATGCACCCACTCACTATGTCAGGGAGAGCTGTGAATCCATTGAGATGTAGGAGTCATCATCACTAATGCCTACTCTCATTCTTCAACATCAAGTTCAAAAGGCATCCCTATGAAACCATCCTTGATGACCAGGAATAGGATTGGGTGCTACCTTCTTCCTACTCTCATCACATTCATTCTGTATCTTCAGAAAGAATAAGCAAACCAAGAGTTACAATCTTTTTTTTTTTTTTTTTTTTTTTTTTTTTTTTTTTGAGATAAGAGTCTCGCTCTGTCGCCCAGGCCAGACTGCGGACTGCAGTGGCGCAATCTCGGCTTACTGCAAGCTCCGCTTCCTGGGTTCACGCCATTCTCCTGCCTCAGCCTCCCGAGTAGCTGGGACTACAGGTGCCCGCCACCACGCCCGGCTAATTTTTTGTATTTTTAGTAGAGATGGGGTTTCACCTTGTTAGCCAGGATGGTCTCGATCTCCGGACCTCATGATCCACCCGCCTCGGCCTCCCAAAGTGCTGGGATTACAGGCGTGAGCCACCGCGCCCGGCCAAGAGTTACAA
Source organism: Homo sapiens (assembly GCF_000001405.40). Lineage (NCBI taxonomy): Eukaryota > Metazoa > Chordata > Mammalia > Primates > Hominidae > Homo > Homo sapiens. Next base: position 137,805,644 of record NC_000008.11, read on the forward strand.
TCTTATCTGATGCCACACCACCACAAATGCCTTGTTGACTGAGAGGAGGTCTGATTAATCTCTACATTCCTAGCACACTCTGTCGGGATGGAACATAATAATCAACCAATAAAATTAACTGTGATTGTTTCCGTTAACACTATTGGTCTTAGTGGTATTATCATAAATTCAGTACTTTAAAGTAAAGTAAATCAAATTAAGCCTTGATATTTTTAGCTTTGTGTCAGTTGGTAGTCTGGTCCATTCCTGAGCACATGAGCCTGGTTAGGCTGAATCTGCTGTTGTGCTCACCGCCCCTATACATCAGCAGCATCTGTGGAGTGGAAGTCTTCCCAGATAATGCATGTCAGTTTATAGCAACATACCTGGTGGTCTTGTTAGAGTGCAAATCCTAGTTCAGTGTAACCGTGGTGGGGCCCAATGTTCTCCATTTCTAACAAGCTCACAGGAGATGGTGATGGCTGTAATTCACACAACACTGAATAGCAAAGTTGTAGAGCACAAGTGAATCAAGAGAGTCAACGTAACAGCCCTTTATCAACATTAGGAGGAATTTTGTTTTCTGTTGGCAGAAACTCCTCAGTTAACTTGAAGCCATAATTCAGTGTCAAAACTAATTTCAGGTAAATGGAAAGTTAATGACAAGCCCATAAACCACTGGTTATGAATTGGCCAAGCATAACACGAGATTAGTGTTATGTAGCAGTGACTGAAGACTCTTGAGTCAAACTGTCTGTGTTCTTACTTATTATGCCACTGGCTTGCTTTGGGACCCTGGTAAGTTATATACCAGGTTTATATCTCTAAAACCTCAACTTTCCTTATCTATAACAGAATGTATTAGATTGAGTACATTCATATTACATATATGAAGGAAGGAAGGGAGGGAGGAAAGAAGGAAAGAAAGGGAAGGAGGGAGGGAGGGAAGGAAGGAATAATAGCTCTGTATTAGAATCTGGGCAAGAAATAAAAAGTGACACATATTACTTTTAGCACAATGCTGGCACAATATAAATATAGAATATATTTTAGCTATTGTTTATAATTGGCACTAGTTTTCACCTTCTGGGAAGCCATTTCCAATTTTCTCCAGGGAGAATTAACCACTATTAGCTCAGTGCTGCCATAAGAGGCACAGTTAACAATGACCTGCTCTGGTTTGTGTGAACAAGATGTCTACATGTCCTTATTACTGGTAGACTCCAACTTTCTGGAGGACAAGAGGGCCTTGTACATCTCAGGTGAGTCAGTGCATTCTGATTTTGATTACTTGTCTTTTTGGATAATTCAAAGTAGCACTTCCACCTCTTATCTTTGGTATTTGACATTTTGTAAAGTTCTCTATTCATTAAAATCTTTTATTCTTTGAAGTGTATCCCCATTGTTAAGGCCCAGCTAAGCTGACTTCTCTAGGGAAGTGATCTCTGATACTCCAGCAGAGTGCCCACTCTCTGTTGTCAGCACAGTGATACATGAGGTGAATCTCCTCATGGGAGAGTTGAAGTGATTCCCTTGACAGACTAATTTCTATGTCAATGTTTATATGTTGTTTTCTTTTTCCTTTATTCCAAGGTGAACTTGGTTTACATTTAAAAGATACTATCTTGAATAAAGGATGTGTTCATAGTCCAATAGTCCCTCTCTCTATTGAAAGAATCATGGCAAGACAACTGAATTCCATTTTAGACATCAGACTTAAGAAGCCATACAGACCCACAGACAAACATACAGACCCAAACAGGAAGAGTCCTGGAAGGATTCAAAATCATGTTATACAGTAAACAGCAGAATGAACAGGCATGTGAGAAATCAGGTTGGGTTTGCATAATAACGGAACATATCCCTGTGAAAGAAGAGGCAGACCTCTTGCAATGCCCCAAAGAAAACTGTAAGGTTAAACAAAGCTTGAGATGTCAAATTCCAGGCTGAAAAGCTACTAGATGAGGTCTTCGGGTTTGCTACTCAAGGATTCAATGAGAGTTGAACTAGATACCTTTTAATTCTGTCTCTAATTTTGAGAGTCTATGATGTTTTCTGAAAGCTACATGTAAGTGGAGACAATATTTTCAATTATCAAGAAAGAGCCCAGCACTTAGTGTCATATACTTAGTGAGTACATGTTGAATGGGTGGATTAGACTTCTGTTTTATTCTAGACTACAGGGAACTAGCACATCTTGGGGTATCCCAAACTTCTCTGTCCACTAATGAGTATCAAAATAAGGCTTTAGGAGACTTCAGGGTATTTAATTAGCTTAAAGAGCCAGAATCGTTTGAGCTAAATTTCGTATCTTAAATTTCTCATTCTAATTGTGAAGACACAGGCAATAAATGTAATCACCTTGTATTCACATTCATGTCATAACTATTTCTTACCCAGTGCCTGTAACTATCTCAATTATCTGAAATGGTTCAACACCACAGTCAAAAATAGGCTAGAGTTGGCAATAACAATAAAGCTAAAAAGGGTCCTGACTACTTTATGACTCTGTGGAACCATTATACTCCTCAGTATCCAAGTGAGGCTGATAACAAGAGGACATTAAAATGTTAGCATCCTCAAACAACAGTGTGGTTATTGCTTATTAATTATACCAAAGGAGCACAACTAATTAGTTTTAATAGGTAGCATTATGTATGCCAGCGACAGATCAGAGAAAGTCTGTGGGTCGTATAAAATTCTTTAGAGGAACAACTGACACCATCTATTTTTCTTTTCTTTTCTTTCTTTTTTTTTTTCTTTTTTTTTTTTTTTTTTAAGACAGAGTCTCACTGCGACACCCAGGCTGGAGTGCAGTGGTGCTGCAGTCTCAGCTCACTGCAACTTCTGCTCCCTGGGTTCAAGTGATTCTCCTCCCTCAGCCTCCAGAGCAGCTGGGATTACAGGTGCCCGCCACTATACCTGGCTAATTTTTGTATTTTTAGTAGAGATGGGGTTTCACCATATTGGCCAGGCTGGTCTTGGACTCCTGACCTTAAGTGATCTGTGCTGGGATTATAGGCGTGAGCCACCATGCCCAGCCGACACCATCTATTGACAGTTGTTCTGCACACCTAAGACACATGGAAATAAACATACAGGACTGGGAGAGCTTGATCCACAGCCTTCCGTTTTGAGTGTGGATTACAATTTGTGCAGCATAGTAATTGTTTTCATAGGGATTTTTCCCTTTCAAATAAAATTGGAAACATTTTCCCATCTTCTTTCCTTAGCTTGTCTCTTCTCCCAGTGAGAACACAGAGGATAAGACAGGAAGGTAGGAGAGAAATATCTAATTGATTGTCAAATGTATCTATTATGAAAATGAATTTATAAATTTAAAGGTGAGCATATTTTGGATTTAAAAATGATGATATATTCCTTTTTATAAGTACTTCTGAAATTTGTATTCCTATCTTCGTGTATTAGTGAACATCTTTCCCCCCCAAAATATGATCATTTTAATTTTTTAAATTTATTTTAAAACCTCTCATCTTGTAGATTAAAAATTGAATCTAACTGCTTCTTTAATTTATATAGCCTTCATTTCTAGTGCATTTGTATTTTGTCAAATGTCTCCCATGTATGCTTTTACAAATTACCTGGTCTTATCATTAGCAATTGTCTTATTAAGTTGTTTTTTCCCTTAATGTAGAAACTATTAATATATTCTGGGTATAGTCAATAAAATCCTACCCAAATGTCCCAGATTTGGGGCTGATCGAGCAAGAAGTTAAAAATCCTGATAAGGAAAATTCTGAAGGCTATAAAGTTAAATGTGGTCATGTATAAGCAAATGAGAAATCTCAGAACAAATGGGAATTAGCAAAACAACATTTTGTTTCCAAATTTTGGCTACCCTCTGAGAGCTGGAATATGACACAGTTAAAATCAGGACAGAGCAATTTCGTGAAACATAAAACAGTTACAAAAAATGAAGAAAAGCAGCTGCATCTTAGGAGGGAAGTCACTTATTTGCTAAGAAAACTTAAAGCCACACAATTTTTCTGCCCACACCCTCCCTGAAAATGTATTATATTAAATCTTAAAGTTTATTGCAGAACTCACTTTATTTGCCATATGATTATGTTTCGAGAGGAATCCAGGGAAAAAAACATGTGGACACTAGATATCTGAATGTGAGAAGATATCCGAAGTGGAACATACAAATAGCATATAAACATACATAGATATGGTATACACAGGTGTAGTATCTGTATCCCCATCTACGTATCTATCTATCATCTATATATATACACATCTATGTATCTATATATATCTATAGTCACTGATTGGGGGAAATCGCACATCAAATGAGAATTCTTAGCATGGTTACTTGTTGTATATGTATCCTTGAGCAAGTCACTTCCTTTTCTTGATCTCAGTCCCTTCATTTCTAAAGTGAGGAAATTAATAACAGGATCCAACTGAGTTGCTCTGATAAGTGAGCTGTATGCAAAAGTTCCTATAAACTCTGAAATCATCTATGAATGTTAATATTTTCTTGTTGAACAATTTTACAGAAAGATGGAAGAAAATTATGTTTTTGTTTAAATAAAACTCAGGTGATTACTTTAGGGCTCAGTTTTAGTAGTACTGGTATTAGTGTTGTTTTCATTTAGCTAAAATGTCTGAGTGCTTATCACATGCTGAGCAATGATCCACACACTATATAATCTCACTTAAACCACATCAGATCTTTTCAAATGAATGGTAATGGAATTTTAATTTGACAGAAAAGTGAAGTCAAGAGTAATCAATTAATTTTTCCAATGCAATGAGGATATGATGAATAGTGGCACCAAAGGATAAAACCATGCCCTTGGGTATCACAGTACACTGGTTTTCCAGCAGAGGATTAAGAAGGGTCAACTTGGAAAGTGAGTTTTCATTACGTAGAACTACCTCCTTCCCTTAATGTAGGCGTACTATATCTGCTATAGTGGCCTCCACCTGACATGACTGGTGGGGGTGGAGGAGTTGCCATGCAGGACACAGGATGTCTAAAATCCAGAATTCTCAGTCCCCACACAAACTTCATATAACTCATAAACTCTGCCCCAACCCTTGCTTTGTTGGCTTCGCAATTCTTCTTCAACCACATTCTGCAACCATAGCATCCAGCACAGCCTATCTATTTAACATGTTACCTGTACACATACAGTGCCCCACTACTAGATTTCTGGGAATGGAGAGGAAGAGGTTGGCCTTGTATATATATGCTATTGATGTGTTGCCCCCATACTGAGCCCTGCACATAACTTCTGGAATGTTCCACATGATGTTATCACTTTTTCCTTTTTTACCCTTATTAATATTAGCTCAGATTTCTATTTATTTTTAAAAAATCTATATTTTCCTCTTTTGCCCAGCACATCTCTTCCCTTTCCTTCTAATACAAAATATTAACCACATTAACTGGTCCTTGATATCAGAAATCCCCTGTTATTAGTAAGAACATGTTGAGTTTAACACATTTTTAAAATCCCTATATTAATTCTCTAACATATTGGGCCTAACATGTTTTGAAAACCAACCAAGCTCATTAATTTAACTGTTTTATTGTTGTTTACTTTTTTATGCATCACATAATGGGAGTAAAACCCAGTGTGAAATCCATTCTAATATATATGTGTGTATATATATATAATTTATATATATAATATATATTTATGTATTATATATTATATATTTTAGAATTACTATATATAGTAATTTTTTAACAATTTAGAATGACAATTACAGTATGTATATCTGAAGAAATGTGTACAGTGTCTTTTTATATATTCACTATGATTCAATATGATGAGGTGTTTGCTTTTTATTGAAATGCTCTTGCCAGTTAGTGGACAGTTTCAGATGTTAGAAGGTTCAATGTCTCACCGACCTAACAACTATTCCTCAGTTATGTTTTTCCTGTTTCCTTTCCTGTACTCTGGAACTTCAAAAACAACAAGAAAATAATTATTTGTAAAAATCACCTTACATGCCTACAGCACATTTCATTTCACAAATCACAAAATAGGCATTTTGATCATCACCTGAAACAGAGATACAGGTATTATCAGTAGCTCCCACATACAGAGACCCAGAGAGATTATGTGGCTTAGCCAAGGTCACATTTTAGAATAAAAACAAAGCTATTATTTGAATATATTTTTTGCAAACTTCTAGTTTAAAATTTTCTCTAATTCTCTATGGCAGCTCTTCCACCATTTGAAAATAATTAATATTCCAACTATCTTTGTTCCAAACTAAAATCCCTTGGCTGATGTTTGGAGGTAATCTGATGAATGTACCTATTGTCTCAAACAAATAGCTGGTCATTACTCTCCTTCATTTGCCTTCTCCCTTGGATGTGAAGTTTAGTTTGGGATGCCTTGCTAAGTTGAAATCTAAGAGAGTGGTGTTTGTCGTTTTGAGCATGGGGACTATTTATAAAGAGTCATGTGAAAGTCTGAAGGTCTATCATCTATAAGAGAAGAAATGGCATTTACCTTCAAGAATTTAAATAATTTTAGAAAATCGTATGTATTTTGTGTAGCTCTAGATAGTTGATTAGAGCAACAAATGCATGTTAGAGGGAAATTAATTTCAGTCCACTCTACCTCTTCTAGATTAAGTTGAATATTCCATTGTACCCTGACTCTTTTAAACGAGCAAATAAATTAATAAGGGAGATCTTTCAAAGTTACAACTTTGCAAACTGTTCACCTTCCTCTCAAACCCTTATATTGATCAGTTTTTCATGGCCCATGTATTTATTCATTCCTTTGCAACCCTGATGCCAATTCTCTCTTATTTTCTCCCTTTAAAAATTTTATTTTTAGTTGACCAATAAAAATTGTCTATAGTGTGCAACATGTTGTTTTGAAATATTTATATAGTGTGAAATGGCTAAATCAAGCTAACTAATATATGTTTACTTCACATACTTATTTTGTTGTGTGGTGAGAACACTTAAAATCCACTCTCAGCAATTTATATATCTCTCTCTCTATATATATTTTTAAATCATACTTTAAGTTCTGGGATACATGTGCAGAATGTGTAGGTCTGTTACATGGGTATACATGAGCCATGGTGGTTTGCTGCACCCATCAACCCGTCATCTACATTAGGTATTTCTCCTAATGCTATCCCTCTCGTAGCCTCCCACGCTCTGATAGGCCCCGGTGTGTAATATTCCCCTCCCTGTGTCCATGTGTTCTCATTGTTCAACTCCCAATCATGAGTGAGAACATACGGTGTTTGCTTTTCTGTTCCTCTGTTAGTTTGCTGAGAATGATGGTTTCCAGCTTCATCCATGTTCCTGCAAAGGATATAAATAATATAATACATTGTTAGCAACTATAGCCAAAGTGTTATATAATAACTCACATGAACTTATTCCTCCTAAGTTAAATTGTGTATCCTTTGACTAACATCTCCCCACTCCAACTCCCATTTTATATTTTAAACTTCTTCTACTTTCCTACTGGATCTCTGCAATATTTCACTGAGAAATGCTTTCAACTGCAATGTAACAGAATATTTAACTAGAAGTGCATGTTGTGGAATTTTGAAGTCTACTCAAAAAGTCAGTGCACAAAATCTAAGACTAGGAACACTGTTGGCATAACATAGTGAACTTGCTGTCACTGATAGAAATCAAGTTACTAGACTTCAAGAAAAATGATATACAGAGGGTTCTCACAGTAAGCAGGATGTTGGTCTAAATCAACATTTCTGGAAATTTTGTCTGATGACCATCTATCCCTGAGTCATTTAGGAAGCTTAAGATAAAGTGGATTTTTAAGCCCCAGAGTAGGATTACTGAAACAGAAGTTCTGGAGTGAGGTCATGGAATATGCATTTTTCAGAAGATTCCCAAATGATTGTCATTCAAAGTTTTGAGAATCCTTTGTCCATGTAGTCATTAAAATTTCTTTCAATTATTTCATTCCAAAGACTAGTGATTTGTCATCTAAAAATGGGACACTAGACAGGAACGAGGCTGACTCCAGAATGTTGAACGACATGTGCCAGACACTCCCTTAGACAGGAACTGCTGAATAGGTGGGAACGTGTGTAACTCTGATCAGCCCCTAGTCCTTAACAGTCCCTGTGCATTTTACCAACATAAATTTACTTAACATATATTTAGGATAGTTAGCTCTTCTTGTTGAATTGATCCCTTTACCATTATGTAATGGCCTTCTTTGTCTCTTTTGATCTTTGTTGGTTTAAAGTCTGTTTTATCAGAGACTAGGATTGCAACCCCTGCCTTTTTTTGTTTTCCATTTTATTGATAGATCTTCCTCCGTCCCTTTATTTTGAGCCTATGTATGTTTCTGCACGTGAGATGGGTTTCCTGAATACAGCACACCGATGGGTCTTGACTCTTTATCCAATTTGCCAGTCTGTGTCTTTTAATTGGAGCATTTAGCCCATTTACATTTAAAGTTAAGATTGTTATGTGTGAATTTGATCCTGTCATTATGATGTTAGCTGGTTATTTTGCTCATTAGTTGATGCAGTTTCTTCCTAGCCTTGATGGCCTTTACAATTTGGCATGTTTTTGCAGTGGCTGGCACTGGTTGTTCCTTTCCATGTTTAGTGCTTCCTTCAGGAGCTGTTGTAGGGCAGGCCTGTTGGTGACAAAATCTCTCAGCATTTGCTTGTCTGTAAAGTATTTTATTTCTCCTTCACTTATGAAGCTTAGTTTGGCTGGATATGAAATTGTTGGTTGAAAATTCTTTTCTTTAGTAATGTTGAATAGTGGTCCCCATTCTCTTCTGGCTTGTAGAGTTTCTGCCCAGAGATCAGCTGTTAGTCTGATGGGCTTCCTTTGTGGGTAACCCGACCTTTCTCTCTGGCTGCCCTTAACATTTTTTCCTTCATTTCAACTTTGATGAATCTGACAATTATGTGTCTTGGAGTTGCTCTTCTCGAGGAGTATCTTTGTGGCATTCTCTGTATTTCCTGAATTTGAATGTTGGCCTGCCTTGCTAGATTGGGGAAGTTCTCCTGGATAATATCCTGCAGTTGGATATCCAATATCCAACTTGGTTCCATTCTCCCCGTCACTTTCAGGTACACCAATCAGATGTAGATTTGGTCTTTTCACATAGTCCCATATTTCTTAGAGGCTTTGTTTGTTTGTTTTTATTCTTTATTCTCCAAACTTCTCTTCTCTCTTCATTTCATTCATTTCGTCTTTCATCACTGATACCCTTTCTTCCAGTTGATCACATCGGCTACTGAGGCTTCTGCATTTGTCACGTAGCTCTCGTGCCTTGGTTTTCAGCTCCATCAGGTCCTTTAAGGACTTCTCTGCATTGGTTATTCTAGTTATCCATTCATCTAATTTTTTTTCAAAGCTTTTAACTTCTCTGCCATTGGTTTGAAATTCCTCCTGTAGCTCAGAGTAGTTTGATCCAGATTCATAAAGCAAGTCCTTAGTGACATACAAAGAGACTTAGACTCCCACACAATAATAATGGGAGACTTTAACACCCCACTGTCAACATTAGACAGATCAATGACACAGAAAGTTAACAAGGATACCCAGGAATTGAACTCAGCTCTGCACCAAGCGGACCTAATAGACATCTACAGAACTCTCCACCCCAAATCAACGGAATATACATTGTTTTCAGCACCACACCTACTCCAAAACTGACCACATAGTTGGAAGTAAAGCACTCCTCAGCAAATGTAAAAGAACAGAAATTATAACAAACTGTCTCTCAGACCACAGTGCAATTAAACTAGAACTCAGGATTAAGAAACTCACTCAAAACCACTCAACTACATGGAAACTGAACAACCTGCTCCTGAATGACTACTGGGTACATAATGAAATGAAGGCAGAAATAAAGATGTTCTTTGAAACCAGCGAGAACAAAGACAAAACATACCAGAATCTCTGGGACACATTCAAAGCAGTGCATAGAGGGAAATTTATAGCACTAAATGCCCACAAGAGAAAGCAGGAAAGATCTAAAATTGACACCCTAACATCACAATTAAAAGAACTAGAGAAGCAAGAGCAAACACATTCAAAAGCTAGCAGAAGGCAAGAAATAACTAAGATCAGAGCAGAACTGAAGGAAACAGACACACAAAAAACCCTACAAAAAATTAATGAATCCAGTAGCTGGTTTTTTGAAAAGATCAACAAAATTGATAGACCGCTAGCAAGACTAATAAAGAAGAAAAGAGAGAAGAATCAAATAGACGCAATGAAAAATGATAAAGGGGCTACCACTACCGATCCCACAGAAATACAAACTACCATCAGAGAATACTATAAACACCTCTACGCAAATAAACTAGAAAATCTAGAAGAAATGGATAAATTCCTCGACACATACATCCTCCCAAGACTAAACCAGGAAGAAGTTGAATCTCTGAATAGACCAATAACAGGCTCTGAAATTGAGGCAATAATCAATAGCTTACCAACCAAAAAAAGTCCAGGACCAGATGGATTCACAGCCGAAATCTACCAGAGGTACAAAGAGAAGCTGTTACCATTCTTTCTGAAACTATTCCAATCAATAGAAAAAGAGGGAATCCTCCCTAACTCATTTTATGAGGCCAGCATCATCCTGATAGCAAAGCCTGGCAGAGACACAACGAAAAAAGAGAATTTTAGACCAATATCCTTGATGAACATCAATGCAAAAATCCTCAATAAAATACTGGCAAACCAAATCTAGCAGCACATGAAAAAGCTTATCCACCATGATCAAGTGGGCTTCATCCCTGGGATGCAAGGCTGGTTCAACATATGCAAATCAATAAATGTAATCCAGAATATAAACAGAACCAAAGACAAAAAACACATGATTATCTCAATAGATGCAGAAAATGCCTTTGACAAAATTCAACAACGCTTCACGCTAAAAACTCTCAATAAATTAGGTATTGATGGGACGAATCTCAAAATAATAAGAGCTATCCATGACAAACCCACAGCCAATATCGTACCGAATGGGCAAAAACTGGAAGCATTCCCTTTGAAAACGGGCACAAGACAGGGATGCACTCTCTCACCACTCCTACTCAACATAGTGTTGGAAGTTCTGGCCAGGGCAATCATGCAGGAGAAGGACATAAAGGGTATTCAATTAGGAAAAGAGGAAGTCAAATTGTCCCTGTTTGCAGATGACATGATTGTATAGCTAGAAAATCCCATCGTCTCAGCCCAAAATCTCCTCAAGCTGATAAGCAACTTCAGCAAAGTCTCAGGATACAAAATCAATGTACAAAAATCACAAGCATTCTTATACACCAATAACAGACAAACAGAGAGCCAAATCATGAGTGAACTCCCATTCACAATTGCTTCAAAGAGAATAAAATACTTAGGAATCCAACTTACAAGGGACATGAAGGACCTCTTCAAGGAGAACTACAAACCACTGCTCAATGAAATAAAAGAGGACACAAACAAATGGAAGAACATTCCATGCTCATGGGTAAGAAGAATCAATATCGTGAAAATGGCCATACTGCCCAAGGTAATTTATAGATTCAATACCATCCCCATCAAGCTACCAATGACTTTCTTCACAGAATTGGAAAAAACTACTTTAAAGTTCATATGGAACCAAAAAAGAGCCCACATTGCCAAGTCAATCCTAAGCCAAAAGAACAAAGCTGGAGGCAACACGCTACCTGACTTCAAACTAAACTACAAGGCTACAGTAACCAAAACAGCATGGTACTGGTACCAAAACAGAGATATAGATCAATGGAACAGAATAGAGCCCTCAGAAATAATGCTGCATATCTACAACTATCTGATCTTTGACAAACATGACAAAAACAAGCAATGGGGAAAGGATTCCCTATTTAATAAATGGTGCTGGGAAAACTGACTAGCCATATGTAGAAAGCTGAAACTGGATCCCTTCCTTACACCTTACACAAAAATTAATTCAAGATGGAGTAAAGACTTACATGATAGACCTAAAACCATAAAAACCCTAAAAGAAAACCTAGGCAATACCATTCAGGACATAGGCATGGGCAAGGACTTCATGTCTAAAACACCAAGAGCAATGGCAACAAAAGCCGAAATTGACAAATGGGATCTAATTAAACTAAAGAGCTTCTGCACAGCAAAAGAAACTACCATCAGAGTGAACAGGCAACCTACAGAATGGGAGAAAATTTTTGCAACCTACTCATCTGACAAAGGGCCAATATCCAGAATCTACAATGAACTCAAACAAATTTACAAGAAAAAAACTAACAACCCCATCAAAAAGTGGGCAAAGGATATGAAGAGACACTTCTCAAAAGAAGACATTTATGCAGCCAAAAGACACATGAAAAAATGCTCATCATCACTGGCCATCAGAGAAATGCAAATCAAAACAACAATGAGATACCATCTCACACCAGTTAGAATGGCGATCATTAGAAAGTCAGGAAACAACAGATGCTGGAGAGGATGTGGAGAAATAGGAACACTTTTATACTGTTGGTGGGACTGTAAACTAGTTCAACCATTGTGGAAGTCAGTGTGGCAATTCCTCAGGGATCTAGAACTAGAAATACCATTTGACCCAGCCATCACATTACTGAGTATATACCCAAAGGATTATAAATCATGCTGCTATAAAGACACATGCATGTGTATGTTTATAGCGGCACTATTCACAATAGCAAAGACTTGGAACCAACCTAAATGTCCAACAACGATAGACTGGATTAAGAAAATGTGGCACATATGCACCATGGAATACTATGCAGCCATAGAAAATGATGAGTTCATGTCCTTTGTAGGGACATGGATGAAACTGGAAACCATCATTCTCAGCAAACTATCACAAGGACAAAAAACCAAACACCTCATGTTCTCACTCACAGGTGGGAATTGAACAATGAGAACACATGGACACAGGAAGGGGAACATCACACACTGGGGCCTGTTGTGGGGTGGGGGGAGGGGGGAGGGATAGCATTAGGGGATATACCTAATGCTAAATGACGAGTTAATGGGTGCAGCACACCAACATGGCACATGTATACATATGTAACAAACCTGCACGTTGTGCACATGTACCCTAAAACTTAAAGTATAATAATAAAATTTTTAAAAAAGTTAATATGAATAAAGACATAGCCAAGTTAACTGACAAAAAAAAATTTACTTAATAAAGGTCTGAACCTAGGACCCATTCATTCTCTCATTTCTCTTTTCAAACATTTTATTCTTGAATTCAAGAACCTTATTTGAACAATATTCTAATGCTAGACAGTGATCCATGCACTGAGCCACAAACTAAATGCAATCATTTTCATACCAGAGGAACTTATGTTTAAGTGGAAGAAAACAATGCGGAGATATATAAAGTAATAGTTTATTTGAATATGGGATATTACAACAAAGGCATACAAATTGTTGCCATTTAACACTGTAGGATACTTTTTTTTTAACTTCTATTTTAGGTTTGGAGGTATATGTGCAGGTTTGTTTTATAGGTAAACTTGTGTAACAGGGGTTTGTTGTACAGATTTTTTCATCACCCAGGTACTAAGCCTAGGACCCAATAGTTATTTTTTCTGCTCTTCTCCCTTCTCTCACCCTCCACCCTCTAGTAGGCCTCAGTGTCTGCTGTTCCTTTTTTGTGTGTCCATGAGTTCTCATCATTTAGTTCCTACTTGTAAGTGAGAACATGTGGTATTTGATTTTCCGTTCCTGTGTCAGTTTGCTAAGAATGATGCCCTCCATGTTGCCACAAAAAAAAAAACCATTATTTCAATCTTTTTTAATGGCTGCATAGTATTCCACAGGGCATATGTACCATATTTTCTTTGTCCAACCTCTCATTGATGGACATTTAGGTTGATTTCAGTCTTTGCTATTATGAATAGTGCTGCAATGAACATTTGCAGGCATGTGCCTTTATGGTAGAATGACTTATATTCCTCTGGGTATATACCCAGTAATGGAATTGCTGGGTCAAAAGGTAGTTCTGTTTTTAGCTTTGAGGAATTCCCATACAGCTTTCTATAATGGTTGAACTAATTTATATTTCCACCAACAGTATATAAGTGTTCCCTTTTCTCCACAACTTTGTCAGCATGTGTTATTTTTTGACTTTTTATTAATACTCATTCTGACTGATGCGAGATAGTATCTCATTGTGGTTTTGATTTGCATGTCTCTAATGATCAGTGATATTGACCTTTTTTCATCTCCTTGTTGGCAACATGTATGTCTTCTTCAGAAAGGTGACTGTTCACGTCTTTGCTCACTTTTTAAATGGGTTTTTTTGTTCTATTCTTGCTCAGAGAAATCAGAGATGACATCAAGAAAAAAATGTAAAAACATCCCAGACTTATGGACAGGAGGAATCAATATCATTAAAATGGCCCTACTACCCAAAGAAATTTACAGATTCAATGATATTCCTACCAAACTACCAAGAACATTCTGCGCAGAACTAGAAAGAACTATTTTAAAATCCATATGGAACCAAAAAGAGCCTGAATAGCCAAGGCAATCCTAAGCAAAAAGAACAAAGCTAGCGGCATCATGTTATCTGACTTCAGAAAACTACACTACAGGGCTACAGTAACCAAAACAGCATGGTACTGGTACAAAAAGAGACACGTACTCCAATGGAACAAAATAGCCCAGAAATAAGGCTGCACACCTACAACCATCTCATGTTCAACTAGGTTGACAAAAACAAATAATGGGGAAAGCATTTTCTGTTCAATAAATGGTGCTGTAATAACTGGCTAGCCATGTGCAGAACATTGAAACTGGAACCCTTCCTTACAGCATATTCAAAAATCAACTCAAGATTGATTAAAGAGTAAATGTAAATCCCAAAATTATAAAAGTTCTGGAAGACAACCTAGGCAAGACCATTCTAGACATAAAAATGAGCAAAGATTTCATGACAAAGATGCCAAAAGCAATCACGACACAAGCAAAAATTGACAAGTGGGATCTAATTAAACTTAAGAGCTTCTGTGCAGCAAAACAAACTACCAGCAGAATAAAGAGACAACCTAAAAAATGGGAGAAAATATTTGCAAAGTATGCATCTGACAAAGGTCTAATATCCAGCATCTATAAGGAACTTAAACCAATTTACAAGAAAAATAAATCATACTAAGGTATTTTAATAGTCACTGAAATAGGGGAGCTTACTATCATGAATAAAGATGTTAAAGGGAGTCTTCTTTGTTATGGATATTCTATTTGCCTCTCCACAAGCACTCTGTCACCCCTTCTTACACATATTCGCATATAAGAGGCCAACAGTTGAGTTGCTTCTGACTACCACTTGGCTCCAATTATTGAGCAATAACAGCAGGTGATCAGCAGATCAGAGGGGAAAAAGAATGAGACCAGGATGATCAACCTCAAAGCCACACCCTCCTTGCTGAAATTTGTTAGTTGCTTCTCCCCTGTGTAAACCACTATTTTCCCAATTGATCCATCCCCAAAGCTAAAGGTATTGCTAAGTTCTGATAACTTGTTTCTTCTCTTGCTGTTTCAGAGTTAAGGATAGTAATGAGCTTTCCCACTTGCCATTCCAGGTATATTCACTGACCCTTCTTAGTTTTAATGAAGCCGTACCTTTGTAAGTATCCTATTCATTACTCTTTTTTTTCAGTTATCCTTTTTTAGAATACCAAGTCTTTCTTTCCTGGGAACTCATCACCTGAATTTGAGAAGAAGCCCTCCCAAGGCTTTTCTCAATAAAGAATACATTTGGTAGCTCTGGGGAACTTTAGGATGGCTCATGTGGCTGGAAGGGAGTTTAGGAGTGATTAAAGAGATCGGACAGAAGGCAGCAGACAATTATTCTGCCTTTCTTAAGGAGTCCAGATTTTGTTTTAAATTTTAATGGGGAGCCAATGCTGGACTTTAAGCGGTGATATAATCATATTCAGGATAAGTAAACAGGCTATAGAATCAGACTGCCTGAGTTTAAACCCTGGCTCTGATAATTATTTGCTTAGTAACCTTGGTCAGGTTACTTAACCCCTGCAATGGTTACTTTTATGTGTCAAACTGACTGGGCCTTGGGGTGCCTGGAATAAATGTTATTTCTGGATGTGTCTATAAAGGTGTATTGGATGAGATTAGCATGTGAATTGGTGGACTCAGTAAAAGAACATGGCTCTCCCAGTGTGGGTGGGCATCATCCAATCCATTGAAGGCCTAAATAGAAAAAAAGTACAAGAGGGAGGATTTGTTCCGTTCCTGCCTGCCTGTTTGAGCTGGGACACTGGTCTTCTCCCGCCCTTTGACTAGGGTTTACACCATAGGCTCCCCTGGTTTTCAGGACTTCAGAGAAGAATTGAGGTTACACCTGCCAATCAAGAAAAATGACTGCACAAGCCTCAATCATTTTAGGAGGCTTATTTGCCAAAGTTAAGGACGTGCACCTGGGAGACAGGTCTATGCCTTTCTCCAAAGATGATTTTGAGGGCTCCAATTTTAAAGGGGAAAGGGAGGGATATTGAGAATTATACAATTTTCATGTAAGAGGTGGGTAGAGAAAAATCGTCATTCATGCCTTTGTCTGGCTCGGTGAACCCTCGTTTTTTACATAAGATGACATAGACAAATGAAGCAGAGGAAAAATGCAGGGTATCTGCATTTTATATGAGACAACATAGACAAAATGGACAGGGGAACAATCAGATATGTATTTGTGTCTAGTAGACCGGTCGGGGGGGCAGGGGTGTGACTGCATCTGTTAAAATAAGCTATCAATTTACATTGCTATGGTAAAATTTTAACACTAAAAAACACCTTAAAAGGTCTTGCAGCTCACTAGGAATTTCCTTGTGGGCAAAATATAGGGTAAGCATGTAGCTTTTCATCTTGTAGCCATCTTATTTAGGAACCAAAAGAATGTGGCAGGTTTGCGTGACCTAGTTCCCAGCTTGACTTTTCCCTTTGGCTTCATGAGTTTGGGATCCCAATATTTAATTTCCTTTCAGATGCCACTGGTTTTCCTGGATCTCCAGCTTACAGATGACAGATTGTGGGGCTTCTTAGCCTCCATAGTCATGTGAGGCTCATCATCATTCTTCACTATGTGTAACCTGTTGGTTTTGCTTCTCAGGAGAACCTTCACTAATGCAAACATTTCGTGCCTCACCTTCCGTATATGTGAGTAGGAGATAGTAACAGCACCTGCACTTAAAGTAGATGTAAAACTAAGAGTTAACACATAAAAGTACTTAAAACAGAGCTTAGCACATTGTAAGCAATTTACAAAATTAGCTATCATGATTATGTTTTAAAAGGATCACCCTGGTTGTTCTACCAGGAACACACATAGCTGAAGGACAAAAGCAAAAGCAGACAGATGCCTGCAAATACTTTCCATGGTGCAGGTGAGAGATGAGAGTTTGCAGAAAGTGGAGACATCAAAATGTCATTGGACAGACATCCACATCCTAGCATTCTTGAGACCTATACTCAAGTCACCCAACATTAACTCAGTCTCAGTCTCGCCTTTGAAGAGAAACTTACTGTGGCCTACTTTTTCTGGGTGTTGGGAAGATAAACCATCTGTTTGTGAAGTTCTTTAAGAGTATATGGTATAATTTGCATTTATTTTTTTCTTAAGTTCTTCTCCAGCTCCAATAGTGAGAGCAAGTTATTAGTAGTCTGTACATAACCTCCAAAATGACCACTAACCACCGGATACCGTAGTAACCTGCAATAAATTTTAGAAACATGTCAGCCATTTAGGTAAATCTTCTATAATTTTAATTTAATTCTATTGATGAATGTTGAGGATAATCTCTTGAAATTGATTCCTATTGATTTGTGTCTAATGAAATTCAATTAAACCCTAGTGATTTGCATTGAACAAATTAAATTGCACAGACTAATTGGATTGAAGGCATTTTCACTGAGGTGGAGAGCATTCATGGGGATGAACCCACTGTGATATGGCTTTAATATGGGCTCCTGGAGTGATAGTTATTGGAAAATTATTAAAACTCAGCACATGTGTCGATTATTAAGAGCACGTTTTTTTAAAGAAAGATGAACTGCATAGGTCTTGTAATTATATTAACTCTTTGGCTCCATCACCTGTAACTAGTTGAGGATTGGGTGTAAGGGCTGCTCTTCTAATGATTTTAACTTTAATTGTAAAGAATGAGGAATGCAATACATCTGAAGAGAAAAGGCAAGGTAGAGAAGGAGGCAAACATTCACTAAGCATTGGATGATTCTTTTGTGCCTTTGTTTTTTAAAAATAAACATGCAGAATAAATCTGCATATAGCTGCCTGCCTTGAATACATCTTGTGTAATATTTCAGATCCTCTCAGACTTTCCTGTCCCTTATTTTAGCCACAATTGCAACAATCCCTATTTTAAGATGCATTGCATCCTGCTAGTGCCCCACCTCAGATCCTTGCCAGTCGTGTCATCTGGGACTTCACTGTTGACACTGCTGCAAAGGACATCACAGGAATCCACTGGGGGTTCATCTCTACATGCAACCTAGAAATGCAGGGGAGTTAGCAGCCCCAAGAGTTAAGCTTTGAGTAACAATGAACAGCTTTGGGAGGCTGAGGAGGGCTGATCACTTGAGGTCAGGGGTTCCAGACCAGCCTGGCCAACATGGCAAAACCCCATCTCTACTAAAAATACAACAAAAAATTAGCCGATCATGGTGGCGCATGCCTGTAATCTCAGCTACTTGGAGGCTGAGGCAGGAGAATTGCTTGAACCCAGGAGGCAGAGGTTGCAGTAAGCCAAAATCGCATCACTGCACTCCAGCCTGAGAGCCTGGATAACAGAGTGAGACTCTGTCTCAAAACAAAACAAAACAAACAAAAACAAACAATAAATGGGAGTTCATGAACTGAATGTCCTCCCAAATTTGTGTGTTGAAGCCCTAACCTCCAATGTGATGGTATTTGAAGGCAGAGTCCTTGGAGGTAATTATGTTTAGATGAAGCCGTGAGGGCAGGGCACTCATGAGCCCTCTTTATTTCTCTTTCTGCCATGTGAGGATACTTTCACTCGCGTCCCTGTGAAGAGACCACCAAACAGGCTTTGTGTGAGCAATAAAGCTGTTTATTTCACCTGGGTGCAGGGGGGCTGAGTCCGAAAAGAGAGTCAGCAAAGGGAGATCGGGTGGGGCCGTTTTATAGGATTTGGGTAGTTAAAGGAAAAAGGGGGGTTGTTCTCTGGTGGGCAGGAGTAGGGGTCACAAGGTGCTCCATAGGGGAGCTTTTGAGCCAGGATGAGCCAGGAGAAGGAACTTCACAAGATAATGTCATCAGTTAAGGCAGGAACAGGCCATTTTCCCTTCTTTTGTGGTGGAATGTCATCAATTAAGGCAGAAACCGGCCATCTGGATGTGTACCTGCAGGTCACAGGGGATATGATGGCTTAGCTTGGGCTCAGAGGCCTGACATTCCTGTATTCTTATATTAATAAGAAAAATAAAACGAAATAGTGGTAAAGTGTTGGGACAGCGAAATTTTTGGGGGGGATGGTATGGAGAGATAATGGGCGATGTTTCTCAGGGCTGCTTTGAGGGGGATTAGGGGCAGCGTGGCAACCTAGAGTGGGAGAGATTAAGCTGAAGGAAGATTTTGTGGTAAGGGGTGATACTGTGGGGTTGTTAGAAGAAACATTTGTCATTTAGAATGATTGGTGATGGCCTGGATACAGTTTTGTATGAATTGAAAAACTAAATGGAATAAGAGAAGGAGAAAAACAGGTATTAAAGGACTAAGAATTGGGAGGACCTAGGACATCTAATTAGAGAGTGCCTAAGGAGGTTCAGCATAGCCTTGCCAGCAAAGATTATTTATTTACTTCAAGAGTTCAGAGTGGCAGTTTGGGGATAGCACCAGGAGATACCAGCTGTGATGGCTTGGAGAAACAGTGTAAACCGGCAGTGTAAACAAGAGCAGGGCATGTATGAGTAGTTGAGAACGGTGAATAGGAGTATGACTAGACAGAAGATAGTAGGGATGACAAGTTTTTTGGGGCACAGTCCAAGTTGGTCTGGTGTCTGGAATGAGACTGGGGCCTAATAAAAAGGAGCGTCTATACAGGAGCTCAAATGGGCTGTCCCTTGTAGCATTCCCAGGACAGGCCTGAATTCTGAGAAGGAAAAGTGGTAAAAGTATTGTCCAGTCCTTTTTAAGTTGGTGGCTGAGCTTGGTGAGGTGTGTTTTTAAAAGACCATTAGTCTGTTCTACTTTTCCTGAAGACTGAGGACTGTAAGGGATATAAAGGTTTCACTGAATATAAGAGCCTGAAAAACTGCTTGGCTGATTTGACTAATAAAGGCCGGTCTGCTATCAGACTGTATAGAGGTGGGAAGGCCAAACTGAGGAATTATGTCTGACAGAAGGGAAGAAATGACCGTGGTGGCCTTCTTAGACCCTGTGGGAAAGGCCTCTACCTATCCAGTGAAAGTGTCTACCTAGACCAAGAGGTATTTTAGTTTCCTGACTCGGGGCATGTTGAGTAAAGCTAATTTGCCAGTCCTGGGCGGGGGCAAATCCCTGAGCTTGATGTGTAGGGAAGGAAGGGGGCCTGAATAATCCCTGAGGAGTAGTAGAATAGCAGACGGAACACTGAGAAGTTATTTCCCTGAGGATAGATTTCCACGATGGAAAGGAAATGAGAGGTTCTGGGAGGCGGGCTAGTGGCTTGTGCTATAGCATAGCCTGCCTTTGCTGGTGTGTGGCGATTAGGCCTGGTGGAACTGTCATCAATAAACCAAGTGTGATCAGGGTGAGAAACAGGGAAGAAGGAAATGTGGGGAAATGGGGTGAATGTCAGGTGGATCAGAGAGATGCAGTCATGAGGGTCAGGTGTGGTATCAGGAATAATGTGGGAGGCCGGATTGACGTCCGGGCCAGGAACAATGGTAATTGTGGGAGACTCAACAAAGAGTGAGTACAGCTGAAGGAGCCAGGGAGCAGAAAGTATATGCGTCAGGTGTGAGGAAGAAAACAGATTTTGGAAATTATGAGAGCTGTAGAGAGTCAGTTGTGCATAGTTTTTTATTTTAAGGGCCTCTAAAAGTATTAGGGCAGTAGCAGCTGCTGCACGGAGACATGATGGCCAGCCTAAAACAGTAAGGTCAAGTTGTTTGGACAAAAAGCCTGCAGGACACAATCCCGGTCCTTGTGTAAGAATTCCGACTTCACAGCCCTGCACTTCGGCTGTGTGTAATGAAAAGGGTTGGGATGAGTCAGGGAGAGCCAGGGTCGGGGCAGTCTCTAAAGCTGTCTTCAAGGAATGGAAAGAGGAGTGGGGAAAGGATTTAGGATCTATGGGGTCAGCTAGGTTTCCTTTTGTGAGTTTATATAATGGTTTTGTTAGGATGGCAAAACCAGGTATCCAAAGGTGAAAGTGTCCAACCATGCCCAGGAAGGAAAGGAGTTGTTGTTTTGTAGAAGGTGCTGGGGTTTGAGAGATTAGTCAGACACGATCAGCAGGAAGAGCACGTGTATTTTATGAGAATTATGCTGAGATAGATAGGTAACAGATAAGGAAGAAATTTGGGCTTGACTGAAGTAATGGAGGCTGTCCGTGAAGCTTTGCAGCAGTACAGCCCAGGTAATTTGCTGAGCCTGATGGGTGTCTGGGTCAGTCCAAGTAAAAGCGAAGAGAGGCTGAGATGAAGGGTGCAAAGGAATAGTAAAGAAAGCATGTTTGAGATCCAGAACCGAATAATGGATTGTGGAGGGAGGTATTGAGGATAGGAGAGTATATGTGTTTGGCATCATGGGGTGGATAGGCAAAACAATTCGGTTGATAAGGCATAGATCCTGAACTAACTTTTAAGGCTTGTCTGGTTTTAAGACAGGTAAAATGGGTGAATTGTAAGGAGAGTTTATAGGCTTTAAAAGGCCATGCTGTAGCAGGCAAGTGATAACAGGCTTTAATCCTTTCAAAGCATGCTGTGGGATGGGATATTGGCATTGAGTGGGGTAAGGGTGATTAGGTTTTAATCAGATGGTAAGGGGTGCATGATCGGTCGCCAAGGAGGGAGTAGCGGTATCTTATACTTGTGGGTTAAGGTGGGGGGGATACAAGAGGAGGACGAAAAGGAGGCTTTGGATTGGGAAGAAGGGCGGCAATGAGATGTAGCTGTAATCCAGGAATAGTCAGGGAAGCAGATAATTTAGTTAAAGTGTCTCGGCCTAATAAGGGAACTGGGCAGGTGGGGATAACTAAAAAGGAGTGCTTAAAAGAGTATTGTCTAAGTTGGCACCAGAGTTGGGGAGTTTTAAGAGGTTTAGAAGCCTGGCTGTCAATACCTACAACAGTTATGGAGGCAAGGGAAACAGGCCCTTGAAAAGAAGGTAATATGGAGTGGGTAGACTCTGTATTTATTAAGAAGGGGAAGGACTTACCCTCCACTGTGAGAGCTACCTAAAGCTCGGTGTCTGTGATGGTCTACAGGGCTTCCGAGGCAATTGGGCAGCATCAGTCTTCAGCCGCTAAGCCGAGAAGATCTGGGAAGGAGTCAGAGAGCCTTGGGCCAGAGTTCCAGGGGCTCTGGGAGTGGCTGCCAGGTGAGTTGAACAATCCAATTTCCAGTGGGGTCCCACACAGTTGGGACACAGCTTAGGAGGACTGCTGGGCATTCCTTGGCCTGGTGGCCAGATTTCTGGCACTTGTAGCAAGCTCCTGGGGGAAGTGGTTCTGGAGGAACGCCTGGCCACTGCAGTTTAGGCGTGTTTGGAAGTTCTTGTGTGCTGGAGGTGTGGCTGGGGTTTGTCTCACAGTGGAGGCAAGGAATTGCAACTCAGAAATATGTTGCTACTTGGCTGCCTCTACTCTATTATTGTACACCTTGAAGGCAAGGTTAATTAAGTCCTGTTGTGGGGTTTGAGAGCCACAATTTAATTTTTGGAGTTTTATTTAATGTTGGGAGCAGATTGGGTAATAAAATGTATATTGAGAATAAGACGGCCTTTTGACCTTTTGGGGTCTAGGGCTGAAAAGTGTCTCAGGGTTGCTGCCAAACGAGCCATGAACTGGGCTGGATTTTTATATTTGATGAAAAAGAGCCTAAACACTATCTGATTTGGGAATAAAGGAAAAGGAGCATTAACCTTGACTATGCCTTTAGTTCCAGCCACCATTTTAAGAGTAAATTGCTAGGCA